>NC_000023.11:84886784-85189814 GCF_000001405.40 Homo sapiens
CTGCCATCTACTTATGGGCATAACAGAAAGAAACCTTCTCCAGGAGTTATATACTTAGAAATCCAGGCCTAGGCTGGGCGTGGTGGCTCACGCCTGTTATCCCAGCACTTTGGGAGGCTGAGGCAGGCGGATCACCTGAGGTCGGGAGTTCGAGACCAGCCTGACCAACATGGAGAAACCCCATCTCTACTAAAAATACAAAATTAGCTGGGCGTGGTGGCGCATGCCTGTTATCCCAGCTACTCGGGAGGCTGAGGCAGGAGAATCGCTTAAACCCGGGAGGCGGAGGTTGTGGTGAGCTGAGATTGCACCATTGCGCTCCAGCCTGGGCGACAAGAGTGAAACTCCATCTCAAAAAAAAAAAAAAAGAAGAGAAAAGAAATCCAGGCCTAAGGTGAAAGTGGATGCTACAGATAGCCATATAGATCCGATGCTGAAAAGGGCAAAAAGCAAACAAAAAAAAAACTGCTTTAATTGATTGGGGTAAGAAGTAATGGCTAGAAGGTTGACTCACTGCATTATAATCAGGGATCTCAGGAGGCACAGAGGTAGAAAAAAGCATGATATAATAGTGTTGGTGACAATAAGTAAACTCATGTGATGAGGCAGCTGGTTTTCCAAAGGGATTTAAAGGAAGCCAGGATTGGCTGGAGAAGGGCAAGATTATAGACTCTTAAGTATGACAGACCAAGGAAAATGGAGACATAATAAAAATTTTAGATACTATAGCATTTAACTTTTTCAAAAGCACTTTAAAATCAATTGAATCTCATTCTTATTGCCATGTCCAATCTATGAAGTAAAAAAAAAAATTAATTATCCTTAAAGCAGGTGTCTGTTTATGTAGTAGAATTCTAGTGGTGCCAAGAAGTCATCATGCCCTGACCTTAAAATACTACCACCAGAATTTGGGGGTTGCTGAAATTTCACAACTGGGGTTTGCAAAATGTCCCAACGTCTACCCCCAACTCAAGAATAGGGTTTAGAAAAGAGATGACTCCTAGGTCAGACGTAATTGAGTCATGTTAACTTTGAAAAAATGCCAGGGGAAACTATTACTCTGTGAGAAAGAACATGGATCAAAGGCACAGTGGCACTACAAACATGATGATGACATTTGAAGACATAGAAAAATAAAGATGTGGGACGATCAACAATGCAAATACAAGAAAGCGTGCTTGAAAGTGGAAGGGAAGCAAAGAATGGAAAGCTACTTCATGTTTTACATAGAACTAACCCTGAAAGTACATAAAGCTACTGTTTTCTGTCCTATTTTAGCAATTTTTCTACAACATTGCTTCAACAAACAATCTACTTCATCAGACATAATTCTAGGTATAGATACGATGATAAATAGAACTCACTCCTACAAATGAGCAACTTGCATGCAGCCTAAGAAGGTGATTAGATATACTGAAGCTCACACAGCAAGTTAGAAATAGTACTAGTACTAAAACCAGGATCTCCTAATTACTGGTGAAGCATAGTTTCTAAACTGCTGCTCTTAATATTACTAAATTAGCAACATTCAAAATATTATTTCTTACTTCTTTGAAGCCTGGGCTTTTATGGTACTGATGATTTTAGTCACAGAACCTACAAATCTTCATTAAATTATTTCTTTTTTATCATAATTGAGATTGTTGTAGAAATGTCATATATTTGATGAAGGATGAATATCCAAAGTGAAAATTTGAATGAAATTCTGTGTCTCTCGGCTCTAAAATGATAGTTCTTTAGTTTTTCACTGCCTTAGCATAATATATCTAGCCAGTTATATTATAATTTTTAAAACTATAGAGAAATGTGAATATAACTCCTAAAGTAACTTAATTAAATAATTTTTTTGACCAGGTTCATCTCAAACTCCCGAGCTTGAGCCATCCTCCCACCTTGGCCTCCCACAGTGCTGGGATTACAGGCCTGAGTCACCACACCTGGCCTAAATCATGTTTTGGTTAAAACTTTTTAAAAACATGTTTATAAAATGTCAGTGCTTTCCATTTTAATTTTTAACTGTAAATTAAAACTCTCTGGCTATCTTCTGAGGAAATTATTTTAAAATAAATAAAATATTTTGATAAAATAAATGGCTTACAGCTGTAAATGAGATTTCTCCATATTTTCTTTTTTTCTGTAATATTTCAATAGGAATTTCTGCATTCTAAATGTAGAAACTAAGATCAGTATTTCAGTCTTGCCTCTGAGGTATTTTGTCATTTCTCAGTTCTTTCCTGTATCTATAAGATGTCAAAACAGTCAACTCATATAATAAAAAATTCAATCAACCAATTGTTTTGATATCTCTTAGACACAGTCTACAATTTTGAGAGAGAAATATCCATGATACTTTTTAGTCAAGTAAACTCTACACATTCAAAACAGACTGATAGATTAAAATAGAGTACTGGACTTCTCACAGAATAGGGAGAAGAAATAAATGTCTTTATTTTAAACTAATTTTAAAATCGAAAGTGGCTATCATTTAGGGTTTGGGTATAGTTTGGCAGCTCTACCAATTCTGTTTTTTTCCTTGACAGTGCTTGACTGTTAGATTTTTCAACCTCAGCACTATTGCACATTTCAGACCTGATAATTATTTTTTGTAGGAGGGGCTGTCCTGTGCATTGTAGAGTGTCTTAGCTGCATCCTTGAACTTCACCTATGTGCCAGTAAGTATATCCCCAAATTATGATAACCAACCATGTCTCCAGACATTGCCAAATGTCTCCTGGGTGGGCAAAATTACCCCCACTGAGAACTGCCGGACTAGAGAATCTCGATGTACAGAAAAGAAAACTCAAGTGTGAAAAAAAAGGCACTATTTCATTAATAATGGGCAAGTCCTTAAAACATCTCCAGCTTCATATCTCTATTCTCCCTGGTAAACTGTGCTGGAGTTCTTGGCTTACGAAAGGAGGCCTAAACAAGGTTTTTCAGTTCCCTCTTCATGAAATGCTTACTGCACTGGAAGCAGAGGACAAAAGAGGTAAGTTGTAAACTTGCCGAGGTCTAGGACTTCTTTCAGCACCAATTTGACGGTAAAGAGGACGTAGAAGAAAGGAAAGACAGCATGGGTGTGTAACTTTAAATCTTTTCAATTGTTCAGCAATCATGATTTTTTATTTCCAAGAGTTCTTTCTTGATCCCTGGTTGTTTATTCCATAACAGGAAAAAAAATTGTTTAATGTTCTATGTTCCCTGAATATCGCTCTTTTCTCTGAGTCAATTTTTCTATTTATCTTGTTCTGTCTCTTCCATGTCATTTGTTTTGGCAGGTTTGCCTTCTCCTAAAAATAAAAAAAAGAGGCGGGGAAAAAAGCACGGGCATTTTCTATTTAAGACCAAGAAAATATGAATATTTACTTCGACTGTTTTGTCAATGGGTGGTTCTTGATAACTGGCAGGCTTTGTTTCAGGGCAAGAGTTCACAAACTGGGGTCCACAGATGCTCAAACATGCCATCATGAATAGAATTCAGGGGATCCCATGACCTTGGACAGTTAAAAAATACATCTTATATTCTTTTATATCTACCTGAAATTTAGTGTTTCTTTCCATTGTGAATGGATAAAGCAATAAACCAAAATAATACAATACTTGTGACTTTTTCTTACCAAAGTTACAAATATTTTCATATTATATTACAGTTACTGAAAACGCTTTAAAATATCATTTAGATTCACAGCTATTTCAAAATTACACTTATTAGGCTTGCTGGTAGATTTTGTTATTGGATTGCAATTTTTTTTAGTATTTTGATAACTATTTCAAGATAAATGATTTCCTTTGTAATCCCATGTATTTTATTTCATGCATTTAAAAATATTATTCTGAAAATGGGTTCATAAATTTTGCCAGACTGTGTGAAGAGTTCCATGGCCCAAAAACCTTGATTTAAGGCATTCAGGGAGAGATGAGGAGCTTCAACATAGTTTGGGAGCTCTCAAAATATCAGAATAATGGCATAATGAAATATTACATGTATATTGTTTAAAAACTTAATCATTTGAAGGATATATTATATCTTTCTAATCATTTGAAATATAAATTATATCATTGGGTTTTCCATCTTGATATATTTCTGTTTTGGCTTCTTTTTTTAACATTATCAACTGCTATAATTTTGAGTAATAATATTACTTGACATTATTTATTGAGTACCTGCTATGTGCCAGGCATAATATTAAGTGCATTATGAATATTGTTTCCCTTACTATGTTAACATGGAAAAATTACTGGACTAGGGATCAAAAAATATTGATAGGATAGCTTTTTCTGTTCTGCCACTAACTGTGATTTTAATTATTAATTAATTAATTTAATTAATTAATATAGTCTATGAAACAATGTAAAACAAACTAGTAATGTAATGTAAAAATCTAGTAATATAAAACAAACTAGTAATGGCCACTGAGCTGAATATCAATTGCTGTAAATGTTTAATGGTGGTTCATATAATTTTTAATCACCAGCTTGTCCATATATATGTGTGTATATATATATATATATATATATATATGTGTGTGTATATATATATATATATATGTGTGTATATATGAATATATAAACATGCACAAACACACTACTAGGAAGCAACCCAGAAATTTTATTGTAGTTATTATATGACACTGGAAAAAGTGTCTCATCATCCTCAAGTTGTTAAAATTTGTCATAGATTTGGTCTCTTTAATAATTCCATATTTCTTTTTTTGTGTGTGATGGAGTCTCACTCTATCACCCAGGCTGGAGTGCAATGGCGTGATCTTGGCTCACTGCAACCTCTGCCTCCTGGGTTCAAGCCATTCTCCTACCTCAGCCTCCCAAGTATCTGGGACTACAGGCATGTGCCAGCATGCCTTGCTAATTTTTGCATTTTTAGTAAAGACAGGACTTCATCATGTTGGCCAGGCTGGTCTTGAACGCCTGACCTTAAGTGATCTGCCTGCCTCAGCCTCCCAAAGTGCTGGGAGTACAGGCATGAGTCACTGTGCCCTGCCTATAATTCCATATTTCTTGAAGGTTTTATTTATTCTGTTTCATTCTTTTTTTCTATTCTTGTCTGCCTGTCTTATTTCAGAAAGTCAGTCTTCAAGCTCTGAGATTCTTTCCTCTGCTTGGTCTACTCGCTATTAATACTTGTGAATTTATTATGATATTCTTTTATTCTGTTTTACAGCTCTATCAGGTTGACTACATTCTTCTTTATACTGACTGTTTTTTCTGTCGGTTCCTGCAATGCTTTTTCATAACTTTTTGCTTCCTTGAATTGTGTTACAATGTGCTCCTTTAGCTGAGTGAACTTTGTTCCTGTCCATATTCTGAATTCTTCTTCTGTCTTGTCAACCATTTCCACTTCAGCCCAGTTCCAAGCTCTTGCTGGAGAGGTTATTTGGTCATTTCAAGGAAAAAGGGACCCATGGCTTTTTGAGATTTTAGCATTCTTGAGCTGATTATTTCTCATTTTTGTGGGCTTATCTACCTTCAATCTTTGAGGTTGCTGGTATATAAATCTTTATTTTTTTCTTTTAACATTCTGGCCGATTTTCTGTAGTGCTGCTACAGTATGTTGGGAGTCCACTCCAGTCCTTAGTTGCCTCATATTTCCCAGTACCTGTAGGTATCACCAATGAAGGCTGTTAAACAGCAAAGATGGCAGTGTGCCCTTCCTCTGGAAGCTCTGTCCCAAAGTGGTTATGGACCAGTTTCTGGCCTGAATGCCCCTGTAGGAGGTGGCTGGGTGTTGTGGGAAATCAGGGACCCTGAATGGAGAGACCTGCTGAAGCCCACAGCAGAAGAACATAAATTGTGAAGATTTCATGCACATTTATCACTTCTCCAATCAATACTCTTATTTATAATTTCCTATGCCTGTCTTTACTTTAATCTCTTAATCCTGTCATCTTCGTAAGCTGAGGATGTATGTCCCCTCAGGACCCTGTGATGATTGCATTATCTGTACAAATTGTTTGTAAAACATGTGTATTTGAATAATAGGAAATCTGGGCATCCTAAAAGAACAGGATAACAGCAATTTTCAGGGAACAAGGGAGATAACCATAAGGTCTGACTGCCTGCGGGGCCGGACAGAACAGAGTCATATTTCTCTTCTTACAAAAGCGAATAGGAGAAATATCACTGAATTCTTTTTCTCAGCAAGGAGTAGCCCTGGGAAAAGAATGCATTCCCAGGGGAAGTTCTCTAAAATGGCTGCTCTGGAAGTTTCTGCCTTATGCAGTTGAAAATAAGGGATGAAATACACCCTGGTCTCCTGCAGCACCCTCAGGCTTGCTAGGATTAGGAAATTCCAGCCTGGCGAATTCTAGTCAGATGGGTTCTCTGCTCTTGAATGCTGTTTCCTGTTAAGATGTTTATCAATGACAACGCATGCACAGTGAGACATGGAACCTCATTAGTAATTCTAATTTCACCCTGGCCTGTGATCTTGCTCTGCCCTTCTGCCTTGTGATCTTTTATTGACCTATGAAGCATATGATCTCTGTAACCCACTCCCTATTCATACACCCCTCCCCTTTTGAAATCGCTAATAAAAACTTGCCGGTTTTGCAGCTCAGGTGGGCATCATGGAACCTGCCAATATGTGATGTCACCCCCGGAGGCCCAGCTGTAAAATTTCTCTCTTTTGTACTCTTTCTCTTTATTTCTCAGACCGGCTGACACTTAGGGTAAAGAGAAAAGAACCTACGTTGAAATATTGGGGGCTGGTTCCCCTAATAGCTGGGGACCCAGGATGGGATTTCTCATCCAGTTAGGAGAACTGGAATCAGGGACCTGCTTAAAAAAGCAGTCTGGCCACGTTTTCCTAGAGCAGCTGTGCTGTGCTAGTAGTCTACTTCAGCTCCTGATTGCCTCAGATACTCCAAAGCCCAAAGGCTGGAACGGCTAAGTTTTCCAAACAGCAAAGATGGTGGCCCACCCCTCTTCCTGGGAGCTCTGTCCCAAAGAGCCCCAAAACCTCTTTCAGCCAGAGAACACCAGTGGGGTAGCCAGAAACCCTGGTTTGGAGGCACTACCTGGTGATGAGGAATAGGGTTGGGTACTAACTTGCAAAAGCAGTCTGGCCATGTTTTCATGGGGCTGCTGTGCTGTGTGGGATACTGTTTCCACCCCTGGTCCACTTGGGCTCTCCAAAGCCTGAAGGAAGGCTGGAACTGCTAAGTCACCAAAATGGCAAAGATGATGGCTTGCCCCTCCCTCTGGGAGTTCCATCCTAGAGAGTTTTTGAATATCTGTAGACAGTACAATACTGTTGGGTGTGGCTAGAGGCCCCAGTTGGGAGATTCCACTCAGTGAAGAGGAACGGGGGTGAGAGACCTGTGTAAAAATACAGTGTGTCCATGCATGCTTTCACAGAGTAGCTGTGCTCTGCTGGGGTACTGCTTCCACCTCAGTTGGTTTGGGCTCTTCAAAGCCCACCAGCTGGAAAGGCTAAGTCACCCAAACAGCAAAAATGGTGGCCTGCCCCTCCCTCTCGGGAGCTATGTTCCTGGGAGTTTTCAAATGGCTGTCTTCTGGAGAACATTGGCAGGGGTGAATGGAAGCCCCAGTTGGGAGGTTTCACCCAGAGAGGTGGAATAGGAGTGGGGAGCAGCTTAAAGAAGAAGTCTGGCCAGGCTTTAATATAGCAGCTGTGCTGTGCTGGTATACCTCTTCTGCTTCAGTCAGCTTGGGTTCTCCAAAACCTGCAGGCTGGAATGGCTAATTTACCCAAACAGGAAATATGGCAGCCCATCCCTCCCTTTGGAAGCTCTGTCACAGGGAGTTTTCAAATTACTGTTGGCCAGAAAACATTGGTGGCAGTGGTTGGAGGCCCCACTTGGGAGGTTCAGCCCAGTGAGGAGGAATGGATTGGGGACTCACTTAAAGAACCAGTCTGGCAAAATTTTGGTAGAGTAGCTGTGCTGTGCCTGGGGATCCCTTCCTCCCCCGGTCAATTTGGACTCTCCAAAGCCCACAGACTGGAATAGCTAAGTTGCCCAAACAGCAAAGATGGCAGTTCACCCCTCCCCGTAGGAGCTCTGTGCCAGGGAAGTGCAGCACTTCTACTGGTGGCTGGCTGGAATTCCAAGCCTGTGGGTGTTATCCTGTGAGGTGCCATGAAATTGGGGCCCTTAGACCATCAGTGCTTGACTTCTGGGTTCAGCCTTTTTCCTAGGGGCAGGTACATGAATTTAATCTCCCACTGTTGTATTCTCAACGCACCAAGATGTAGCAGTCTCTCACTGTCTGAGATAACACCCGGAGTTCTTTGCCTCACGTCCAAGATAATATAGGAGCACAGAGACAAGGCTGATTTAGTAAGCAAAAGCAGAAAGCTCTCTGCCAGCAGAGAGGGGAGCCCGAATGAGTTGCCCCCTATGAGGCTAGGGTCCATTGTTTTACGGATAGGGAAAAGGAAAGAATGTGCTTAGTTTGCAGGCTGTCTTGGAGAATACATGACTCGCCTTGGCCTGGGACCAATTAGAAAACTTGGCATGGGGCTTGACGGAGCAGCTCACGCCTGCAATCCCAGCACTTTGGGAGGCCAAGGCAGATCACAAGGTCAAGAGATTGAGACCATCCTGGCCAACATGGTGAAACCCCATCTCTACTAAAAATACAAAAATTAGCTGGGCATGGTGGCACACGCCTGTAGTCCCAGCTATTCAGGAGGCTGAGGCAGAGGTTGCAGTGAGCCGTTATCACGCCACTGCACTCCAGCCTGGTGACAGAGCAAGACTCTGTCTCAGGAAATAAAGAAAACTTGGCCCGGGACCAATCAAGGGCTGAAGGGATTATTCACAGAGGCTGCCCAGCTTGGCCCGGGACCTATCAGGAGCTGAAGTGAAAGCTTTGCCCGGGACCTTGACCCAGGACCAATCAGGAGCTGAAGTGATGATCCATAGAGGCTGGGCTCACAATCCAAAAAGGAAAGGAAAGTACCCACCAGAACCCAATGGAGCCCACTGTGTTCATGCCCACAAAAGGAGAAAAAACATTTTCCTGTAAGCCCACTGATTATACAAAGGACAAAGGCATTTCTATGTCAGGTCTTGTTCCCTTATGTGAGTGAGCTGGAGGTTGGTGCAAGTTTTTACCTGAATGGGCTGGAGGTTCTCCTATCTGTGCAGCTGTGAGCATGTTTCCAGGCACAACTCCTTGTGCTAGTTCTCTTATTAGTGCCTGCAGCTTGATTTTTTTCTCAGGCTGCTTTTTATGTTATGTGGGGATGAGGCACTGACCCATGAGTCAGGGGCTCTCCAGAGACCCTTGCCTTGTCTATCTAAGGCAAGCTAGCTAACTCCTGTCACCACTTTGCCAGAGTTGCAGTTACTTTTGCTGGGATGCCCAGAAAGCTAGAGAATCTAAAGCTCCCAGGATTCCATATGTGCCTGAGCAGCTGCTTGTCTGAGACGCTAGGTAGCTCTGTGTGTCAGACTGAAGGCCCTGGTGGAGTGGGTTCACAGGGTTATCTCTTGACCTTAGGCTTGCAAAGATCCATAGAAGAAGCATGGTTTCCCAAGGCTGCACATTTATTCACCACTTCACTGGGTTGTGGAGGTTCCATTAACTCCATGTCACTCCCAGGTGGGCCATCATCCTGCCTTGCTTTTATCTGTTCTGGTTGGGTTGAGTTGTTTCCTTGATTAGTACCAATGTGAGTACCTGGATGTTCCTGTTGAAGGTGTGTATTTACTCACCCCTTCCATTCCTCTCTGTGGAGAGCCATGCACCCCAGCTACTTCTATTTGGCCATCTTTACCACTCACCTTCCAGTAGTGTATTACAAGAACAAGACAGCATGCCTAAGTAGGATTTACTCCAGAAACTCAAGGTTAATTTAGAAGAAGCCTTATTAGTCTAATTCATTTAAGACTAAAAAAGGAAATCCATGTATTAACAACTCAATAGATACAGAAAAGTTATTCAATACTTTTAATAACAATTCTTGATATAAATAAAAATCTCTTCTATGCACTGTTTATTTTTTTACTGTGCTTATACATTACTTCTATAATTTCAAATGAAAGTTAAAGTACTATTGCCTAGTCTAACAGGAGAGCTAAAGCAAAACATTGACATTTGACTCTCCATCTCAAAAATGTTACAGAATATTTTAAGAGTGGTCAGGTAACCAGGTAGTTATTTATATGTGTATATGTCAAACGAAAATTTTCTGATAGCCATGGTTAATCCAAAGGAGTGCACACACTAGGGGTCTAAGAATTGAATATGACTCAAAACTTTACTTGAGTGTATATATTTTCCTTTTATCAGTCATTTTTAAAACTACCCCAGTTTCATAATGTAATTTTATTGGAATTAAAGTTGAACACTTTAAAATTGTATAAGCAGTTACTACCAGCTACAGCTATTAATCTATCCATATCTGCTATTATGTTTTTTTCCTAGGTTTAACCATCTATAGTGATAGCATGAGATAGATGGTTGGGCTTTACTGTTCTATGAATTCACGTGTGCCAGCTAATCAGATTATAAATTTGGGTAAATTATGTGAGACAGTAAATTAGGTTTTAAAAAATAAAGATGGGTAAAAATAATGTGACTGCTATTTAGTTTTGAAAGTCATCAAGTAGGGGAAGCATAAAAGATCTAACAGCTATATGTTAAATACTCAGGTATTTTTGTCATGATCTATTATTTTTCATCTTCCAGAAAACACAGAGGAATTGTTCACAAATAGAGACTCCACTTCATTTTCTCTTATTTAATTAAAAAGCGACCTTTTTTCAGATACTTGGGGATTTTTTTAACATCGTGATGGGATCATTTCTATAAGAAGCCCACCTTTGATGATTTCTAATATGTGCATAGATTTTCACTGTCATGATTTTACCCAATCTATTCTCAGTGAACAAGACCCACATTTCAAAATTGATGTTTTAATAAACCCTTATAACATTCATCCTTAATATAAAGCCAGTACAGATTCTTAAAATACAGGGATCCTAAGCAATTTCACCAGGGATTAATGGGCAAAGATAGGCAGGTGCTATAATTGGAGAACTGCGTTCTAGATCAAACTCTATCACCAACTAACAATAACATGACAAATATTACTTGGCCTTATTTCTCTATCTATAAAGCAAAGGATTGAGCTAGACGATCTTTAAAGTCTCTTCTAGCTCAACAATTCTGTGGTTCTAATGTGCTGAAAAAGAGTATATCTGGAAAAGCCCCCTTCTACAGTAGAAGGAAGTGGTAGTGGCCATAGTTTGAAGAAAAAATTTTGAAAAATTATTGCAATCTCAGATATCTCATCCTCCTCACACATTTATATATGTGTGAACTCACACAAAGTGACATACTGCATAAGCAATAGCATGGTTTTAGAAATCTAAGTTAAACTGTTATCTTCAGTAACAGGCTCTTAAAAGGTAGGAAAAATGTATAATTTGGTTTGGCTTTGTGAAGAGACCCATTCTCTGTGCATAAACTCTCCAAATTATAGTGACTTCAGTATTCAACTGAAACTTAAGGGAGAACTTTCTCATACTAGTATAACTGTGTGAGAGTCCAGAATAAAGCAACAGTAATTTGATAATTAGTATAACAGTTGTAAGCTGGACCCTGGAGTGATGAGATTTTTTTTGTTTGTTTTTTGTTTTGTTTTGTTTTGTTTTGTTTCGTTTTTGAGATGGAGTTTCGCTCATGCTGCCCAGGCTGGAGTACAATGGCATGATCTCGGCTCACTGCAACCTCCACCTCCTGGGTTCAAGTGATTCTCCTGCCTCACCCTCCTGAGTAGCTGGGATTACAGGCATGCACCATTACGCCCGGCTAATTTTGTATTTTTAGTAGAGACAGGGTTTCTCCATGTTGGTCTGGCTGGTTTCAAACTCCTCAGGTGATTCCCACCTCGGCCTCCCAAAGTGCTGGGATTACAGCCGTGAGCCACTGCGTCTGGCCAGAGTGATGAGTTTTTAAAAGTGCAACCACAAGTTACAATGGCATATAGTTGTAACAAAATTTTAATTAATATAATAATATACACTTAATTTTAAAAATAAAATAACTAATTTTATGAATAAATTTGCCTTGGGATTTCTAGGAAAAGCAATACATGCATTTAAGGAATTCAAATATGTTTTTCTTTCTTTCTTTTTTTTTTAAAAATTTTACTTTAAATTCCAGGATACACGTGCAGAACGTGCAGGTTTGTTACATAAGTATATGTGTGCCATGGTGGTTTGCTGCACCTATTGACCTGTCCTGTAAGTTCCCTCCCTTTGCCCCCCACCACCCAAAGAGGCCCTGGTGTGTGTTGTTTCCATCCCCGTGTCCATGTGTTCTCAATGTTCAACTCTCACTTATGAGTGAGAACATGTGATGTTTGGTTTTCTGACCCTCTGTTAGTTTGCTGAGGATGGTGGCTTCCAGCTTAATCCATATCCCTGCAAAGGACATGATCTCATTCCTTTTTATGGCTGCATAGTATTACACAGTGTATATGTACCAAATTTTCTTTATCCAGTCTATCACTGATGGGTATTTGGGTTGGTTCCATGGCTTTGCTATTGTACATGGTGCTGCAAAAAACACACGTGTGCATGTGTCTTTATACTAGAATACTTCATATGGGATTGCTGGGTCAAGTCGTATTTCTGGTTCTAGATCCTTGAGGAGTTGCCATACTGTCTTCCACAATGGTTGAACAAATTTACATTCCCACTAACAGTGTGAAAGTGTTTCTATTTCTCCACAGCCTCACCAGCATCTATTGTTTCTTGACTTTTTAATAATCACCGTTCTGACTGGCGTGAGATGATATCTCATTGTGGTCTTGATTTGCATTTCACTAACGATCAGTGATGTTGAGTTTTTTTTCATATGTTTGTTGGCTGCGTAAATGTCTTCTTCGGAGAAGTGTCTGTTCATATCCTTTGCCCACTTTTTGATGAGGTTGTTTGTTTTTTGTCCTGTAAATTTGTTTAAGTTCCTTATACATTCTGGATATTAGATGTTTCTCAGAGGGGTAGATTGCAAAAATGTTCTCCCTTTCTGTAGGTTGCCTGTTCACTCTGATGATAGTTTCTTTTGCTGTGCAGAAGCTCTTTAGTTTAATTAGATCCCATTTGTAATTTTGGCTTTTGTTGCAATTGCTTTTGGCATTTTTGTCATGAAGTCTTTGCCCATGCCTATGTCCTGAATGGTGTTGCCTAGGTTTTCTTCTAGGGTTTTTATGGTTTTGGTTTTTACATTTAAGTCTTTAATTCATCTTGAGTTAATTTTTGTATAAGGTATAAGGAAGGGGTCCAGTTTCAGTTTTCTGCATATGGCTAGCCAGTTTTCCCAGCACCTCTTATTAAATAGGAGATTCTTTCCAATTGCTTGTTTTTGTCAGGTTTGTTGACAATCAGATGGTTGCAGGTGTGTGGTGTTATTTCTGAGGCTGAGACTAAATTTTCATGTCTATTACACTGAGATGCTCTGAAGAGATAAAAGAGCCAACGTCTGATTTCAATCATGTTCTTAATGTTGTTTACCTTGGCCATAGGAAATGCAAGAGATGGCTCTGGAAGAAAAGACAGTCTAGAAGAATCCCCTTTTTTAAATGGAAAATATACTGGCTTATTGTGAAACAGTCAACTCTCTACTGGTTGCTTCACAATGTAAGTGTACCAGGAAGGAAAGTAAGTCTATCTATTATCACTGAATTACAGTGAAAAACAGTTAAGTGTTTATTTGTGCCAAATAACAGTTATTTTTGCTTAAACCATAACTTATTTAAATTTTAGTTAGAGCTGTACAGTTTTAGGCTCTCTATCTACACATAGAAAATGAGATCACAAATTGTTGGAATTACACCATTTGTGGCATCCATTATGTAACAATAAAATGATAGCCCGGAAATATACTTTTTTCCTAAAATTGCAACAAAAATGATAAAATACACAAGAATAAACAATATAAAATGTGTAAGATGTGTGAGAATAAAATGTAAAATTTTCATAGAGGAAATGATAGATAAATGTTGAGTTATATGGCCACATTTCTGGCTTAGAACAGTCAATATAGTAAATACGACAAATCTCAAATATTTCAAATTAACTTTAAATGTAATGCTACTTTAATCAAAATTTTGATGGGATTTTTTCAGAGGTTGACTCTAACTCTAAAAGTTCATCTGGGAGAATAAAAACTGTGAGAGAAATCCCAGATAAAAATACTAAGTTTAATTAGAAGGTAATCTACCCCAAAAAATTCTAAAATATACTCTAAATGTATAATAATTAATATACTGGCAAAAATAAAAATATATAAGTATTCTAGTGAAATGAATAAGAAAATCCAGAGACAGGATAAATATGTGAAAAATATGTGAAAAATATACTAAAGGCAATATTTCTTTTATTATTATTATTATACTTTCAGTTCTATGGTAAATGTGCACAATGTGCAGGTTTGTTATGTATGTATACATGTGCCATGTTAGTGTGCTACACCCATTAACTCGTCATTTACATTAGGTATATCTCCTAATGCTATCCCTCCCCCATCCTGCCACCCCATGACAGGCCCCAGTGTGTGATGTTCCCCTTCCTGTGTCCAAGTGTTCTCATTGTTCAATTCCCAACTATCAGTGAGAACATGTGGTGTTTGGTATTTTGTCCTTGTGATAGTTTGCTGAGAATGATGGTTTCCAGCTTCATCCATGTCCCTACAAAGGACATGAGCTCATCTTTTTTATGGCTGCATAGTATTCCGTGGTGTATATGTGCCACATTTTCTTAATCCAGTCTATCATTGACGGACATTTGGGTTGGTTCCAAGTCTTTGCTATTGTGAATAGTGCCACAATAAACATATGTGTGTATGTGTCTTTATAGCAGCATGATTTATCATCCTTTGGGTACATATCCAGTAATGGGATGGCTGGGTCAAATGGTATTTCTAGTTCTAGATCCTTGAGGAATGGCCACACTGTCTTCCACAATGGTTGAACTAGTTTACAGTCCCACCAACAGTGTAAAAGTGTTCCTATTTCTCCACATCCTCTCCAGCACCTGTTGTTTCCTGACTTTTTAATGATCACCATTCTAACTGGTATCAGATGGTATCTCATTGTGGTTTTGATTTGCGTTTCTCTAACAGCCAGTGATTATGCACATTTTTTCATGTGTCTGTTGGCTGCATAAATGTCTTCTTTTGGAAAGTGTCTATTCATATCCTTCGCCCACTTTTTGATGGGGTTGTTTGTTTTTTTCTTGTAAATTTGTTTGAGTTCATTATAGATTCTGGATATTAGCCCTTTGTCAGATGAGTAGATTGCAAAAATTTTCTCCCATTCTGTAGGTTGCCTGTTCACTCTGATGGTAGTTTCTTTTGCTGTGCAGAAGCTTTTTAGTTGAATTAGATCTCATTTGTCAATTTTGGCTTTTGTTGCCATTGCTTTTAGTGTTTTAGACATGAAGTCCTTGCCCATGCCTATGTCCTGAATGGTATTGCCTAAGTTTTCTTCTAGGGTTTTTATGGTTTTAGGTCTAACATGTAAGTCTTTAAGCCATCTTGAGTTAATTTTTGTATAAGGTGTAAGGAAGGGATCCAGTTTCAGCTTTCTACATATGGCTAGCCAGTTTTCCCAGCACCATTTATTAAATAGGGAATCCTTTCCCCATTGCTTGTTTTTCTCAGATTTGTCAAAGATCAGATGGTTGTAGATGTGTGGTGTTATTTCTGAGGCCTCTATTCTGTTCCGTTGGTCTATATCTCTGCTTTGGTACCAGTACCATGCTGTTTTGGTTACCGTAGCCTTGTAGTATAGTTTGAAGTCAGGTAGCATGATGCCTCCAGCTTCGTTCTTTTGGCTTAGGATTGTCTTGGCAATGCAGGCTCCTTTTTGGTTCCATATGAACTTTAAGCAGTTTTTTCGAATTCTGTGAAGAAAGTCATTGGTAGCTTGATGGGGATGGCATTGAATCTATAAATTACCTTGGGCAGTATAGCCATTTTCACAATATTGATTCTTCCTATCCATGAGCATGGAATGTTCTTCCATTTGTTTGTATCCTCTTTTATTTCATTGAGTAGTGGTTTGTAGTTCTTGAAGAGGTCCTTCACCTCCCTTGTAAGTTGGATTCCTAGGTATTTTATTCTCTTTGTAGCAATTGTGAATGGGAGTTCACTCATGATTTGGCTCTCTGTTTGTCTGTTATTGGTGTATAAGAATGCTTGTGATTTTTGCACATTGATTTTGTATCCTGTGACTTTGTTGAAGTTGCTTATCAGCTTAAGGGGACTTTGGGCTGAGACGATGGGGTTTTCTAAATATACAATCATGTCATCTGCAAACAGGGACAATTTGACTTCCTCTTTTCCTAATTGAATACCCTTTATTTCCTCCTCCTGCCTGATTGCCCTGGCCAGAACTTCCAACACTATGTTGAATAGGAGTGGTGAGAGAGGGCATCCCTCTCTTGTGCCAGTTTTCAAAGGGGATGCTTCCAGGTTTTGCCCATTCAGTATGATATTGGCTGTGGGTTTGTCATATCAATGGGGCAAAGATGGATTATTCAATGGATAGTTTTGGGTAACTTTCAAAAAATTTGGAAAAGAGAAATATACCTGGATCACTATATTATATAAATGGTATGGTTTGGCTGTGTCTCCATCCAAAATCTCATCTTGCATTGTCATAATCACCAAGTGTCAAGGGTGGGACCTGGTGGAGATAACTAAATCATAGGGGTGGTTTCCCCCATACTGTTCTTATGATAGTGAGTTTTCATGAGATCTAATGTTTTTTGTTTGTTTTTTGAGATGGAGTCTCACTCTGTTGCCCAGACTGGTCTCAAACTCCTGGCCTCAAGCTGTCTTTCCAGCTCCACCTCCCAAAGCACTAAAATTACAGGCCTGAGCCACTGTGCCCAGCCTGAACCCTTTCAATAGCCTCTGACCTGTCTCCCCATGTTCACTTTGGCCCCCCTCTAATCTGTTCTACCATTCTAATCAGAGAAACATTTTCTTAAAATATAAATGTGATCATATCACCACTCCTTCTCCTCACTCCACTTTTCCATCCATCCCCTTTATTTAAAGCTATCAATAACTTTTCATTATTTTTAGACTAAAAAAAATCCGTAAAAAGAATTACCAGGCATTGCATGGATTCTATACCTCTCGAGTCACATCTTATACCATGCACCACTGTGGTTTTTACATTCCAGCCATGTTGGCCTTCTTTTAGTTTCTCTAATGTGTTAAGTTCCATCCACCTACAGAACCTCTGCATATGTTTTCCATTTTTCCTATAATACTCCATGACCTGGGTAACTCCTAGTCTTCCTTGAGAGCTCACTTTAATATATGATTCTTTTAGGAAAGCCTTCCCTAATCCCTCCCTGCCCACCAACTTGATCACTTATTAGCTCTCATAGCATTATGTACCTCTACTTCACAGCATTTAGCACACTCGTAATTTTACTTTTGTTTTGTGACTCTTGTACCAATGTCTGTCTTCTGCTTTCACAAGTACTACCTCTCTGTTCCCAGAACTTCTAACCCCAACAGTTCACATGCCTCAATATGTGGCACAATGTATGTTGCTCAATTGATATTAACTAAATTAATGAACAGTTGTGATGATTCAATGAATTAATGCATGTAAATTACCTTTGCATAGCGTCTATCACATAATAAGTCATCAGTAAATATCACTCCTCATCATATTATTCTATTCCCTCTTCTCCAACCAATGTGAAAAATCTTCTATTTCAAATGTGAAAATTTTTAAGACCAGTTATGAAATATCAAATCATTTTATATTGTATTAATAACCTGATGAATATCATTCATCTTATTCTTTTCCAAATTAAACAGAAAAAATACTAAATTGTATTCACCATGTTTTCATTTCACTGACAGAACATTCTTACAATTAATTATCTTAATACAAGCTAAATCAAAGTTCCAGTGCCTTTTTTAATGGATCGGCTTTGTGAGCATTTTTTTCCATGTGGCCTTTTGTCAGATTATTATTAAATGTATGAGATTTTGATTTTTTAATTCAGTGATTGCTAGGTTTATATTTTTATATAACTTTAATAGAATCTTTCCCTTGGGAATTGTAATGCATGTTACAAACATCACAGCATATCAATAGTTGGTTCCCCTTTTTTATTCTTGAAGAAATTGTGACTCAAAAAGAATAAGTGACTTGGTAAGCATTGGTATAATTATAACAACCAGATCTTAGTAACCTCTATAAATAAGTTGAGTGATGTCCAACCTTTTGCCATTTCATGACAATTTCTTAGAAAAATTATGGGTTGCTTGTAATACCAGAGAGAGGGAGAGAAAATGGTATATTAAAAAGACCACATTTCAAATACTGCTCTGTGATGCCCATATGCTAAACAATTTCATGCTTGGCAACTTCATTTTTAGATATTTTTAAAGAGTTTTCAAAATAAAAATAATTGATGTATGTAATAACCATCCTATATTAGGAAACTTAAGGTTTAGAAATACGTTAAATGTTACTATCACCACCCTTTTCTGGCCTTTTGGGATATATTTTTTCTTCTGTATGTATCTACATGTATGTATTTCTTCTGTTCATGCCCTATTGATGTTGAGAACTATTTGTGTATTTTGAAGTAATTCTGTGTAGTCATTAACTTAAGAGTATGCTGTTACCATAGCTGGTTTACTAAATTCATGGTCCATTCACTTTGCAGAAAGCTATTAATATTAGGTTGATGCAAAAGTAATAGTGGTTTTTGCCATTACTTTTTCACCAACCTAATATCTCAAATGCATGGTAAGCAAACTGCATTCTTTCTTTAATAAACAGTCTACAAAACTGTTGTTCATTATCACTCTGGTGACCTGGCTCTTGGCTCTTCATTTCAATGGCTAACACACTCTATTCAGTTTTTTCTTTACATCCTTTTTTTCTTTCCCTTTTCCATTTCTTTTGTAGAATATCAAGGCTGAGATGATTTTATATATCCACCTGAATTCCAAATTGACTTGGCTCCATGTTGCAGAAGAAACCAACAAATACATCCTTAAGTTCAAAGTCCAGATCAGCACTGTACAATAGAAATATAATGTAAGGTACATATATAATTTTAAATTTTCAAATAGTTTGTCCAGAATACCGGTGTTCCAGCATTATGCTGTGACTGGAATTTATGAATAATAGATTCTATAAGATTAACACAATAGTTCTATTACTTTCAAATTAGCTTACCACTTTAGTTCATTTTTCACCTTTCTTCATTTTATCTGCAAAATATTAAAATTACCAGTTACCTTTCTTTGGGGGAAGAGTCATAGGATTTATATATTTTTATCAAGTCTTTTTCTAACTTACTATATTACAATACCTACTAATTTACAATGTTCTTCAAATGATATGCTGCCCATCCTATAGCCAGATTCCTATAATTAAAGAATGTGTGCATAAAATCATCAGCAAGCTTGGGAGAAGAATCAATCAGCATCAAATTGTTCTTTTCCCTTTTGTTGACTTAATAAAACCACATACATTAACTTAGTTCTACAACCAAGGACCTATAGGAAATCAGGCAATGGATCAAAAAGAAATAGAATGACTTCTGCTTCTGCTCTGGGCTAATATTCTAGAATATGTATGATAAATTATGTTAATGGTTGTAACAAATTTTGAAGAAACTCAGTCGAAGAACTTGGAAAAAATCTACCACCATCAAAATAGCAGAAAAAAGCTTTGGAAGCCAAAGTCATCCATTTAGTTTATTATATAAGTGCTAAAATTAAGATGTTTGGAGAATACCAGTATAGTACTAGGAGATATTGAAGAGATAAGTATCTATAAGTTACTAGATGTCATACTTTCTCTATTAGGTTATATTCTTACTATTATATATCTTAGTATATAATATATAATTATATATAATATATAAGAAATACAATAATATATGATATACATTACATATAAGTCATAGCATATAGTTTATATAGCTTCAGAACAGATGAAATGAAACTTGGGATGATTCAGGGAAGAGAAATAAATCCTAATCACAGGGATATAAAAATAGATTCCATGAAGAAAAGTTAAATAAATCAGTGTGTTTTAGTGGTAGAGTTACATAATTATTACAACTTAGTATTTTTAAAAAATTATACAAAAAGGCAGTTGAAAATTAAAAATAAAATTGCAAAAATACGTGTTTAAGTTGAAGCTGGAGAGCTTGAATTATCTATAAAATAAAATATATGACCAGAATTGGCTATTGAGGAAAGTGATATAGTTTCCACCTTTTAATATCTTAAACTGTGTCCTGGAGGCTTAAGTATTCAAGCCTGAAGTAAGAAGTAGAAACAAATTGCTTTTTTTAAGTAGCTTTCCAACTATAAGATTGCATAATTTTTCATTAATGTGGACTAGAGAGTATGTCTAGACAGTACTTACCTGTGTGTAAGATATTGCCCTGAAAGAGCTTGTAACTTTTACATTTGTCCCGTGATGTGGAGGAGTGATTTATCTACCAGTGAAGGAGATGAGGAAGGGCAAAAGAAACCCATTCTTATTTTCAAAGTGGAAGAGATTTAGCTACTCAAAAGCCCAGGTCATTTGACACTAGGGGTAATTCACTAAATGGTAAAAAGAATAAACAGTCGTATTAATCACATCTCTAACAATTTACCCTCAAATTCATGTATATTGTTAACAGATAGCTCCCTGGACTGAAAACTTTGGGTATTCTAGAATGGAAATTCCTAGGAATAAAAGTTGGCCCCTGCCATCTAGTGGACACCATAAGATTATTTTCTTTCTAATATTTACCTATATTTTGGTTTTGGAAAACAGAAACCAAATTAATACAGGACTTGGTGAATCATTGTCAGTACTATATTTCTTTATTTTGCTCAGAACTATACCTTTCCTTTTTAATCAGTGTTTCATATGTTGGTCACGCCACAGAGGTGGAATGAATCCCCCACCCTCAACCTCAACTTTGGTTAAGAGGTCAAGACACCACATACACACCAGGACACTATGAAAATGTTTATTATTTGCATAATGATGCTTTCCGGGGAGAGCAAGACAGGCATTCCTGCCGATCCAAAAATAACTTGAGGTCAGGGTGTGGTGGCTCAGGCCTGTAATCCCAGCACTTCGGGAGGCTCAGACAGGAGGATCTCTTGACCCCAGGAGTTCAAGACCAGTCTGCACAACATAAGGAAAACCTGTCTGCATAAAAAACTAAAAAATTAGTAGGGCATGGTGGCAGGCATCTGTGGTCCCAGCTACTTGGTAGGCTGAGGTAGGAGGATCGCTTGAGCCCAGGAGGTCGAAGCTTCAGTAAGCCATGATTGCACCACTGCACTCCAGCCTGGGTGACAGAGTGAGACTCTGTCTCAAAAAAAAAAAAAAAAAAAAAAAAAAAAAGCTTAGTTTTTCTAATATTTAGGAGCTGAGGCTGGGATTAAGTTTCTAGCATATGAGGGAGAGGGAGGAGGGTAGAGCTTGAAAACTATCAGCAATCAAATATCTAAAGTGGAGTCAGATTATTTATTACCCTTCTTAAGGGATATTTTGCCCTATTAGACTAAATTTAAGTCTATATAAGGAAAATGAACTACATAATTTACATTGACTATCCTAGTAGACTAAGTGGGTTATTCTGCTAGATTATATAAAGATACTATTGCTGATTCTGTGATACCAATATTATGGAATTGCAGAGAAGAAATATTTCTATTCAAGTTTATAATGTTTTCTAATGTATAAATACTTAACAGACTGAAAATTTCAATTTTAAAGCAGATAAATTAATAATTGATAACTCACATTATAAAATAATCACATTACAAAGTAACCTTTACTTAATAACTGACTTTTTTTAAAGTAGTGAGATTTTTTTAGACTAATGATACTTTGCCTATAAGGTAACCATTTTTCAGTGAGAATATATGATTTAGAAACAAATAGGAATGACACGCATCTCTTGTGAATACATTTATTGCAAGGATCATGGTATATTTTTAGTTTACTACTTGCACAAACAATGAGGAATATCCCCATTTTTTATTGTTGCTGCTATTATGTTCGACTTCAATTCCTTTTTAGGTATAACCTACACTTTTAACCTAGACTATGTTGAATTATTTATTTTTTAACATCATAATTCCCTTTGCCTTTTGGAAACAACCTAAGTGCCTTAAGCTATAAGAGTAACTTTGAATTTCCACTGCTGGATTATCACTCAATTGCTGAATTTCTTAATTTTAATAAGAATTGTGTTTGGATAAACCTTTTGTCAATTGCAGTAGATTTATACTTACTATAAAAAACAACAACAGCACAGAAATATAGTGGCTTTAAAATACTTAAAATTAGGGAACAGGAACACTGACACATTGAAGGATCTGACTATGAAAAATGTTGAAACATTGATATATAGAGAAAGAACATTCACTGAATTTGATTTAAATACAGAGTAAAAACAAAAGACTTGAAGTCTGAGCAGGGCATATCCTTACTTGAGTTTGACTATTTTAGTTTCAGTAGTAGTATACTCAAACAGAATCATACCAAGGATAATGGATATTGTGCATCAAATGTTGACTTACTGGCAGAGATTGCATAAGAAGAAAATTAATGAGTAATAAAGGTCAGCTGTTGTTGATGCAGCAAACTTTTTTTAAAAAAAATTCCAGATCTAGGTAAATTATGGGAGAAAGTGTTCATGTAGTGACCCAATATACGAGAAGCAAGATTGTTAAGGACATTATTGTTTAATTGTACATTTGCACATAAGATAGCCTTTTACAGTATTAATGATATTGTTTTGTTCTATATAAATCTTTTTGTGTTTTATGCTGTTTTTAATGGATATCACACAGCCTTAATTGAAAGTGTTTGGTCCTTAGGATAAGGCACATTTTAGAAAAGAAAATTTTAAGTTGTGGGAAATGGGCACTTATTTATTTTTCTTCTCATTTGGATTAAGCACGTACATAAGAGCCTGTTAGAGGCTAGAATGGTGGGAATGAAACAAAACAAGTGGATATATACAAGATACCTTTAGGAAGTAAAATCAACAACTTGGCTACAGGAATTGAGGGAGATAATGTGTCAAGGATGACTTCTAGGCTTCTGGCTTATATAACAAGATGGATTTCATTGTAATTTTCAATGAGATATGGAACACTGGAAGAGGACCAGAATTTTAAGGACGAGACTAAGAGTTTGGTCTGTGGACGTGTAGAGTTAGAGGTATCTGTGAGACATCCTAGGGAGTTTCACATAGTTTCCTCTTAGCCTGGAGCTCAGAGAAGAGGACTAAACTGGAGATAATTTGTGAGTTATCTGCATTGAAATGGTGTTTGAAGCCATAGGCATAGATAGGTGAGAACAGCTAGGACAGTGGTTCTCAAACATGAACATCCATCAAAATAAACTGGAGGGATTATTAAAACACAGATTGCTGGGGCCCATTCCTGAAGTTTCTGACTCAGTAAGTCTAGTGTGCGGGCTGAGAATTCACCTATCTAACAAGCTCCTGGGTAATGACCACGCTGGTGATCCCAGGTCTCTGAGAACCACTGGCCTAAGGAAAGAGTTTAAAAGTGATAAGAAGACCCTGCAGAAAACCAACATTTAATGGCTGAGTAGATCCTGCAAAGTAAACTGAAAGAATGTCCATAAAGGTGAGCAGAATTGCACTAACACTATAGCATCATTATTTAATATGTTCCTAGGATTCTATAGCAGAGATCTATAAGCACAGACAACACGCAGTACTTTGTTCTTAAGGAGCAAAAGCTGTTGAACTTTCTAAATCAGGGGTTGTTGTTACACATACAATTTAGCTGTATATAAGGTGTTTGCTTCAGAGATAAGAATATTTGTAGAGGTAAGAATATGTGTTGACTAATGTCATCAATGAAACTTTGACTATAACAGGTTCTTATGTTCATGTTTAATCTAAATGAGAAGAAAAATAAGTAATTGCCCATTTCCCAAAACTTAAAATTTTCTTTTATAAAATGTGCCTTATCCTAAGGACCAAACAATTTTTTTTTTTTTTTTTTTTTTTGAGGCAGAGTCTCACTCTGTCACCCAAGCTGGATTGCAGTGGTGCGATCTCGGCTCACTGCAACCTCCGCCTCCTGGGTTCAAGCAATTCTCCTGCCTCAGCCTCCCGAGTAGCTGGGACTACAGGCGCGTGCCACCACGCCAGGCTAATTTTTTGTATTTTTAGTACAGATGGGGTTTCACCATGTTGGCCAGGCTGCTCTCTATCTCCTGACCTCGTGATCCATCCGCCTCGGCATCCCAAACTGCTGAGATTACAGGCGTGAGCCACCGCGCCCAGCCATGGACCAAACACTTTCAATTAAGGCTGTGTGATATCCATTTTGTTGTGTTTCTCAATGTAAAACTAAGAACTGGGATAACTTTGAAACCTGACACAATGAATCTACTCAGCATTCATCAATAGCCACTATGCTTTCACTGATATTTAAGATTATAGAATGAACAAGAAGATATTCTATTTACCAGTGTTCTGTGTTGTTGGAAAGCATTAGGAAATCATTGAAACTAACTGCCTTGATTGAAGTGAATGGTAAACTGCTTTGTACAGGCTGATATTGCTTACCATAATGATTGAACATATTTTTTTTGTTAGTTTTATGTACATTTACTTGAATTTTAAAAGAATGTGCAATAAAACTTACAAATTGTTTCTTGCTTATCTTGATTATTCTACGGTCTATAAGCTGACTACAGCACAGTGCCACAAGTTAGTTTAAAGCTTATCATTCTTTCAAATAGATCATGCTTGATCTGCTTGTATATTAAGCATGATCCCTATGGAAGTCGATAGATGGAGTTCTCCTTTTGTAACAAAAATACCCCATGTGAGTAAAATATGCCCTATAAGGCATTAATTCCAATTAGGGAAAACAATACATTATTGATATTTTAAACTACATCCTACAGATTTTAAAGTGTGTTGACTAATGTCATCAATGAACCTTTGACTATAACAGGCTATTACATTCATGTTTAAGCTAAATGAGAAGAAAAATAAATTATCTATAATTTCAAAAGGGAAGTTGTTTACATTTGTAGTAAACATGCGAGAAGGAAGGGTTGTTCTTCCCTTAGTGAGTTTATTCAGCCCACTCTCAATTTTAATCATGCTGAATTTAATCCTGTCACATTGCTAGTGGCTATAATTTATGCCTCTGAGACCCAAGCACAACAACATTCTGTCTTGAGAAAAAAAATAATTTCTGTCTTGACAACACTTAAGTAATAACTCATTATAAAAAGAAAAAAATCTGACAATATCAGAGAGGCTGTCAGATTATTCCCAGAAAAGGGCATAGTGATAAGTGTAGCTAAAAGTCCCCTGGAAAGACTCTGAAGAATATCCTGACATAGAAACAATAAATGTTTTCTATTCTGTCAAGAAGTGTAGTAGGAAGATTGTTTGGCATCTGGGAGAAAAATCAAGATTAAAGGTAGAGTATTGTTTTAAATAAAGAAAAATATATGAAATGTGTTTATATCCTAAAAGGAAAGAATCAATTTAAAAAGGACGAGATGAAAGATACGTCACTAAAAGAAATGGCTGAGGAAGCAAATGAGGAAAGAGAGGATGAGATCAAAGACATATATGGGGAATTAGGTTGTGAAAATGAATAAATAACTGAGGATAGGTAGGTATGCAGGCAAGGTTGAAATATGTCATTACACACAAAGTAAATAATACACTAAGCCTGAGACATTTGACTGTTTGTATTAAATAACATCAAAACAGTGTGAATGTTTTAAAGCAAAAGTGATTTAGCCCAGACTTTTCATAGAGATACCTCCTTCTTAACTTTCAAATTGTCAGCAAACCCTAAGGGAATGCATTCCATAGTCAGCAAAGCAGTAGCAAAACTATGATAGATTCAAAGAATCTTGATGTCTGCTTTGTTCTCTCCATCAACATTATTTTTTAATCAGAGAAATGTTAGAATTTTTCTATGATAAACCTTTGTTGGTTGAACTTGAAATATTTAAGTTATTATATTAAAATATAAATGAAGACCTAAAACATTTCTTATTACCCTTTTCCAGTAATTTTATGTAATTTAAAAATTTATCAGGTATCATCTAGTTAGAAACAGGTAGCTATAGTCTGTCATTCTTTTTCTCTGAAAAAGTTGCATGTCTGGTGATGATTTTATTAGAAAAATGAAAGAAGAGGAATATATAATTGTTTTAACTAAAATAAATCTTTGTCTACATAGAAATATCATAATTGATTATAAATATACAACTAGAAATGAAAATAAAATCATTGAGAATAGATTGGTTTGTGTTACATGATGTTACATGCTGTTTTTTCTTTTGAAAGTGAGTGAAGGATATTGAATAATTTGAAAACAGTAATAATTGATAAATAAAACTATAGTAAGTTTAAAAGATTATGACTAAAATGTCATCTAAATGCAGTTTCTATGATCTAAGTGGTTATGAAATAATATCTAATAGGAAAATGCTCATAAAGTAAATTTGATTTTACTTTAATTTTAAATTACATACAATATAATTTTCTCTTAAAGAAAATTTAACATATATTCAGATAAAACTTTTCAAAGACTATGCTCCTCTTTATTTTAATAAATGTGAAATCTGAGACACTGATTGAATTCAATTTTGTGCCCCAGATCTGGAAATATCTATTAGAATAGTTAAGACTTTGTATAACCCTGATTCTCCACTCTATGTATAAAAGTATTTCTTAATAAAGCGATGCATAATATTTTGGCAAAATATTGTTTTTTACTTTATACCTTATGTAATCCAAAATTATTTCTCTTATCAACATATTTATACAAGGCCATTTACTCTTAAACTGAAGAATCAATGCTCTGCATAGAGTTGACAGGGTTGTAGGTTTGTTTGTGTTTTAATTCCATTAGCTATATGGAAGAGAAAAGAGATCCACACATATAACAACATGGATTGTCATGTTCATATGTTAATGGTTAGGATGTCTGAAGAAACTTTGTTATTTATCTCACAAATCTAAGTAAATGTTGCATGAAAAGAGAGCAACAGAATTATGTTGTATAATCAAATCAGAAGTACTTGATCTTCTGTATAGCTTTACTTATAAAGACTCAGCAATTGTAGCAGCCCAGTTCAGTCATTACAGAAAGTATGCACGCCCTTTGTGTCTGTTTGAAAAGTCAATCATCATTTTCCTCTCAGTAAAATAGAAAATAGAAAGATACGGAACTCCAGATACAAGCTACTTTCACCTGTGAGCAAAGTTTGTTTGGCCAGTGAGATACCCTAAAAACAACTCAGAAAATTCTTCTTACAGGTTTATAAGAAAGAAAGTGGAAGATAATAGAATCTTCTTTGATTTTTGGTTTTTAATACAGGATTATAAATATTCTGGGCAATAAAATAAAAAGCCAGATATGGTAGAGCACAATAGTTTAAAATTAAAGTATTTGCTTCACCTACTAACTAGAATATAAAACAGAGTGCCAAAGTTAAGGAGACAGAGTACCTCAAGGTACAAAATCACAAAATAAACACCATAGATATTTGTCTAAAGAAAAACATGAATGCACAGCCACTAAAATTTATGTTTCAGAATTAAATAAAATCTTTGATACACTAAGTATGTCTGTCTTAGAACCAAAAATATTTATATTGGTCTCTATCAATATGTTGTCCAATTTATTTAAATGCACATATCTATTCAAAGTTTATCTGTATGTATTTATATTTCTTAAGTAGGCCTCATTCAACTGTAATCCTTATGAACCTCAACAACTTGACTTTCTAGTGAGTTTAAAATTTCAGTTCCTATATTTATATAGAAACTTTTCAAGTTTAGCCTATTTTGATCTCATTTTACATCCTATCTCCACAAGTATTATATCTGTAACTAAAGCAATATGAACAATTTCAAAGATATTTTTGCTTGATTTCTATATAAAAAGCAAATAGATATAAATTTCACTTCTAACTAATATAGAATAATAAATATGATTTACCATCTTAAAATATTTTAAAATCTGAACAACATATATAAAAAAAGGATTTTCAAGACATTGAAGATCAATCAATGAAGGACAGTAGTCCCAGAGAATCTGGAAATAAAGGAGTTGGATCATTACGCCTACTTATATTTTTCAGCACACAGAAAAGGGAAGGAGAACCTAGGTGGAACAAGGCAGACTCCCTGAGTTGAGGAAACAAAGTTAAGCATCTGCAGAGACCAAGGGGGCTAAAGTTTATAGAGAAAAATCCCAGAGAGTGGAAGACTATGCAAAGAGTGAGCTCTGTAGATCTGTACAGGTTCCCATCCAGTATTCAGTAGAGCACTGTTTAGGTCATGTCTGGAAGAAAAGTCCTCAATGCTGGTAAAAGAACCACATGAAATGATTAGAGAAAATATATCCAGAGCTCACAATAAGCTTGAAATAGTTCCTATTCCCAGAAACCATACTGAAAAACTGTGTAATTTATGGAGCATTGATAAGAGGGTCTTGCTTCTGTAGAAGGTAATAATTTAGAAAATATTATTCTTCATTTTTTGAGACAGAGTCACACTCTGTTGCCCAAGCTGAAGTGCAGTGGCAGGCAGGATCTCCCTTTTTTGCCCAGGCTGGTCTCAAATTCCTGGACCCAAGCAATCTTCCCACCACAGCCTCCCAATGCGCTGGGATTACAGGAATGAGACACCATGCTCAACCAACAAATATTATTCTGATTTCACCTAACATATTTTTTAAAAGACCCCAAAAGATCAAGCCATTTCAAAGTAACTTAATTGTGTCCCACAAAAAGCTCAAGAATATTTATAGAAAACAAAATATCTACCACCCAAATGAAGTAAAATGCACAATATCTGCCAACCCATCAAAAATTACAAAGCATGCAAAGAAACAGTAAAATGTGATTTTTACTAAAGACAAAAATCAATCAAACCCAACCCAGAATTCACACACTAGTATTAGTAGATCTAAATATACACTGCCTATGAGAAATTCCCTTTAAAGATAAAGACACACTTGGTTTAAACATAAATAAAAGGAGTAAGACATCATGCTCAAAAAATTAAAATAAAGTTCACATGGTCAATTTGTGGAAAATGGTCAATTCATAAGAAGGACATAACAGTCCCAAACCCTTATGACATTAATAACAAAACTTCAAAACACACAATATATACATTTTTTTCATGAGCACAAGGAACTTTTACAAAGATAGATGATATGTTGTGCAACAAAACTAATCTCAATAAATTTAAAAGAATTCAACTCAGACAAATGTTTGCTCACGATGGAATTAAATTAGAAATCAGTAACAAAGAGATATCTGGAAAATATCCAAATATTCAAAAACTGAATAACTTACTTCTAAATAGCCCATAGGCCAAAGGAAAAAAAAAGAAATTGGAAAGTATTTTGAAATAAATGAAATAAAAACAACATATCAAAATTTATAAGATGCCACTAAAGCAGTACTTAGGCAGAAACTGATAAATTCTTATATTGGAAAAGAAGAAATGTCTCAAATCAAAAACTTCAGCTTCCACAAAAAAAAGAAAAACTAAAAAGGAAAGAGCAAATGAAAACCCAAATTATGCAGAAGAGAGAAAATAATAAAGATAAGAAGAAAAAACAATGAAATAAAAACCAAAACAAAACAAAAACATACAATCAATGAAACAAAAACCTGGATCTTTGAGAAGATCAGCAAAATTAATCATCTTCTACACCAAATGATCAGGAAAAAAAACAGTGATGAAATCTCCCAAGATTGAATCAGGAAGAATTAAAACTTTGAACAGACCAATATCTAGTTATGAAATTGAATCAATAATTAACCTACCAACCAAAAAAAATCCCCTAACAAGATAAATTCACAGTTGAATTCTACCAGATATACGAAGAGCTGGTACCAACACTACTGAAACCATTGCAAAAAATCAAGGAGGGACTCCTCCCTAATTCATTCTATGAAAGCAACATCACCCTGATACCAAAACCTAAAAAAGAGACAATGGAAAAAAAGAAACTGGCCAATATCCCTGATGAACAAAGACACAAAAATCCTCATCAAAATACTAGCAAACCAAATCCAACAGCATATCAAAAAGTTAATTCATCACTTCAAGTAGGCTTTATTCCTGGGATGCAGGGTTGGTTCAACATATGCACATCAATAAATGTGATTCACCACATAAACAGAATTAAAAACAAAAACCATATGATTATCTAAATAGGTGCAGAAAAAAAACTTTCAATAAATCCAACACCCCTCATTTAAAACTCTCAACAAACTAGGCATTGAAGAAACATACCTCAAAATAATAAAAGTCATCTATGACAAACCCACAGAAAACATCACAGTGAATGAGCAAAAGCTGGAAGCATTCCCCTTGATAACTGGAATACAATAAGGATGCCCACTCTCATCATTACTATTCAACGTAATACTGGAAGTCCTAGCCAGAGCAATCAGACAAGAAAAATAAATAAAAGGCAATCAAATAGAAAAAGAAGTCAAACTGTCTCTCTTCACTGACAATATTATTCTATACTTAGAAAACCCTAAAGATCCCACCAAAAGCCAACTGGAATGGATAAATGACTTCAGTAAAGTTTCAAGATACAAAATCAATGTACAAAAATCAGTAGCATTTCTATACACCAATAATGTTCAAGCTGAAAGACAAATCAAGAATGAAATCTCATTTAAAATAACTACAAAAAAGTAAAAGTCCTACAAATACAGTAAACCAAGGAGGTGTAAGATCTCTACAGAAAAAAAACTACAGGCCAGGTGCAGTGGCTCACACATGTAATCCCAGCACTTTGGGAGGCCGAGGTGGGTGTATGACCTGAGGTCAGGAGTTCAAGACCAGCCTGGCCAACACAGTGAAACCCTGTCTCTACCAAAAATACAAAAAAATAGCTGGGCGTGGTGGCACATGCCTATAATTCTAGCTACTTGGGAGGCTGAGGCAGGAGAATTGCTTGAATCCAGGAGACGGAGGTTTCAGTGAACCACAATCACACCATTGCACTCCAGCCTGGGCAACAAGAGTGAAACTTTGTCTCAAAAAAAAGAAAAGAAAAGAAAAGAAAAGAAAAGAAAAGAAAAACTACAAAATACTGCTAACAGAAGTCACAGATGACACAACAAAATAGAAAAACATTCCATGCTCATGGATTGGAAGAATCAATATCACTAAATGGCTATACTGCCCAAACCAATCTACAGATTTAACACTATTCATATAAAACTACCAGCATCATTTTTCACAGAATTGGACAAAAGTATTCTACCATTCACATGGAACCAAAAAAGAGCCTGAATAGCCAAAGCAATTTTAAACAAAAAGAACAAAGCTGGAGACATTACATTACCGGACTTCAAACTATACTGCAAGGCTACACATTAACCAAAACAACATGTACCGGTACAAAAGCACACACATAGACCAAAGGAAGGGAATAGAGAACCCAAAAATAAAACTGCATACCTACAACCACGTGTTCTTTGAAAAAGTTGAAAAAAAATAGCAATAGAGGAAAGGATTCCTTATTCAATAAGTGGTGCTGGGATAGCTGTCTAGCCATATGCAGAAGAATAAAACTAGACTCCTACCTTTCACCATATAAAAAAATTAACTGAAGATGAATTAGAGATTAAAATGTAAAACCTCAAACTGTAAGAATCCTAGAAGAAAACCTAGAATAACCATTCTGGACATTGGCCTTAAGAAAAAATATATGACTAAGTCTTCAAAAGTAATTGCAACCAAAAAAAAATTGACAAGTAGGACTTAGATAAACAAAAGAGCTTCCGCACAGAAAAAAAAAAAACTATCAACAAAGTAAAGACAACCAAAAGAGAAAATATTTGTCAAATATGCATCTGCCAAAGGTCTAATTTGCAGAATCCTTGAGGAACTTAATTGAATAAGCAAAACTGAATTACCCCATTAAAAATGGGCAAAAAACATGAACAGACGTTTCTCAAAAGATGACATACAAGTATCCTACCAACATATGAAAAAATGCTCAATATCACTAATATTCAGAGGAATGAAAATCAAAATCACAATGAGATACCATCTCACACCAGTCGAAATGGTGATTATTAAAAAGAAAAAAAAAGATGCTGGTGAGGCTTCAGAGAAAAAGGAACACTTATACACTGATGGTGAAAAAGTAAATTAGCTCAGCCACTGTGGAAAGCAGTTCAGTGATTTCTCAAAGAACTACCATTTGATCCAGCAGTTTCTTTACTGGGTATATATCCAAAGGAAAATAAATCGTTCTACTAAAAAGACACATGCACTTGTATGTTTATTGCTGTGCTATTCACAATAACAAAGATATGGAATCATCATGGTGCCCATCAATGGTGGATTGGATAACGGAAATTTGGTTTATATATATCATGGAACACTATGCAGCCACAAAAAGAGTAAAATCATATCCTTTGCAGCAACGTAGATGCAGCTGAAAGCCATTATTCTAAGCAAATTTATGCAGGAAGAGAAAACCAAATATTGCATGTTCTCACTTATAAATGGGAGCTCAGCATTGAGCTGAGCATTGAGTACACATGAACATAAAGACAGCAACAACAGAGACTGGGGACTACTAGAAGAGGGAGGGAGGTGCAAATGTCAAAAAACTAACTGTTGTGTACTATGTTTAGTACCTGGGTTATGGGATCAATAATACTCCAAACTTCAGCATTACTCAGTATACTCAGGTAACAAACCTGCACATGTACCCCCGAATCTAAAATAAATGTCAAAGTTAAAAAATAAAAACTGAGATGGCACTAATTACCAATATCAAAAATGAAGGTTGATGCATGTTCTAAAGATATTTAGAACCTAATAATCGATATTTAAAACAACTTATGCTCATAAATTTGAAAACTTAAATGAAATGAAACACTTATTTGAAATATACAAACTACCAAAGGTAATTCAAGAAGAAAGAGAAAATCTGAATAAACTTACACCTGTTAAAGAATTGGAATTTGTAGCAAAAACCTTTACCACAATCAAGACTGCAAGTTTAGGTGGCTTCACTAGTGACTTCTACCAAACACTTAAATTAAAAAAAAAAAAAAGTACCCATTCTAAAGAAACTCGTCAAGAAAATGTTATGAGGTCAATATTTGCTTGATACCAAAACCACACAAAGTCATTACAAAAATTAAAACAACAGACCCATATTCATTATTAATAAAGATGCCAAAATTCTTTTTTAACTTTTATTTTAAGGTCAGTGGTACATGTGCAGGTTTGTTATATAGGTAAACATGTGTCATGGGGGTTTGTTGTACTGATTATTTCATCACCCAGGCATTAAGCCTAGTATCCATTATTATTTTTCCTGATCGTCTCCCTCCTCCCACCCTCCACCCTTCAATAGGCCACAGTGTGTATTGTTCCCTGACATGTGTCCATGTGTTCTAATCATTCAGCTCCCACTTATAAGTGAGAATATGCGGTATTTAGTTTTCTGTTCCTGCATTAGTTTACTAAGGATAATGCCCTCCTTCTCTATCCATTTCCCTGCAAAGGATATGATGTTTGTATTATTCCATTTTCACACTGCTACAGAGACTGGGTAATTTATAAACAAAGGTTTAATTGACTCAGTTCCATATGGCTGTGGAGGCCTCAGGAAACTCACAATCATGATGGAAAGCAAAGAAGAAGCAAGCATGTTTTACATGGCAGGCAGCAAGAGAGTGAAGAAAGCAAAGGTGGAAGAGCCCCTTATAAAACCATCAGATCTCCTGAGAACTCACTCACTATTATGAAACAGCATGGGGGCAACAGCCTTCATGATCCAATCACCTCCTACCAGGTCTCTCCCTCAACACCTGAGGATTACAATTGAAGATGAGATTTAGGTGAGGACACAAAGCCCAACCATATCAATGTCATTCTGTGTGTGTGTGTGTGTGTGTGTGTGTGTGTGTGTGTGTGTGTGTGTGTGTGTGTGTAGAGAGATGGAGTCTCACTCTTGTTGCGCAGGCTGGAGGGCAATGGCGTGATCTCAGTTCACTGCAACCTCCATCTCCCAGGTTCAAGCTATTCTCCTGCCTCAGCCTCCCAAGTAACTGGGATTACAGGGATGCACCACCGCACCCAGCTAATTTTGTATTTTTAGTAGAGAAGGGGTTTCTCCATGTTGCCCAGGCTGGTCTTGAACTCCTGACCTCAGGTGATCCACCTGCCTTGGCCTCCCAAAGTGCTGGGATAACAGGGGTGAGCCACCACACCCGGCCAATATCATTTTTTTTAATGGTTGCATAGTATCCCATGATGTATATGTATCACATTTTCTTTATGCAGTCTAAGTCTATCACTGATGGTCATTTGGGTAGATTCCATGTCTTTGCTATTGTGAATAGTGCTGCAATGAACATATGCATCTTTATAATAGAATGATTTATATTCCTTTTGGTATATCAGCAGTAGTGGGATTGCTGTGTCAAATGGGATTTCTGTTTTTAGGTCTTCGAAGAATTGCCACAGTCTTCCACAATGATTGAACTAATGTACATTCCCACCAACAGTGTATAAGTGTTCCTTTCTCTCCACAACTTCACCAGCATCTGTTATTTTATGACTTTAATAATAGCCATTCTGACTAGTGTGAGTTGGTATCTCATTGTGGTTTTGATTTGCATTTCTCTAATGATCAGTGATGTTGAGCTTTTTTTCGTATGCTTATTGGCTGCATATATGTCTCCTTCTGAGAAGTGTCCATTCATATCCTTTGGTTACTTTTTTATGGGGTTGTTTTTTCTTATAAATTTGTTTAAGTTCCTTATAGAGGTTGGATATCAGACCTTTGTCAGATGCATAGTTTGCAAAAATTTTCTCCCATTCTGTGAGTTGTCTGTGTAATCTGCTGATAGTTTATTTTGTTGTGCAGAAGCTCTTTAGTTTAATTAGATCCAACTTGTCAATTTTTGCTTTTGTTGCAATTGCTTTTGCATCTTCATCATGAAATCATTGCCCATTACTTAGTTCAGAATGGTATTGCGTAGGTTGTCTTCCGGGGATTTCATAGGTTCAGATTTTACATTTAAGTCTTTATCTTGAGTTAATTTTTGTGTATGGTCTAAGGAAGGGGTTCTACTTGTACCTTCTGCATATAGCTAACCAGTTATCCCAGGACCGTTTATTGAATAGGGAGTCTTTTCCCCATTGTTGTTTTGTCAGCTTTGTTGAAGATCAGATGGTCACAGATGTGTGGTCTTATTTCTGGGCTTTCTGTTTTATTTCATTGGTCTATGTGCCTGTTTTTGTACCACTACCATGCTGTTTGGGTTACTGTAGCCACGTAGTATAGTTTGAAGTTGAGTAAAGTGATGCTTCCAGCTTTGTTCTTTTTGCTTAGAATTGCCTTGGCTATTCAAGCTACTTTTTGGTTTCACATAAATTTTAAAATAGTTCATAATAGTTCTGTGAAGAATGTCATTGATATAATAGTTGGATAGAAATAGCATTGAATCTGTAAATTGCTTTGGGCAGTATAACCATTTCAGTGCTGTTGATTCTTCCTATCCGTAAGCATTGGATGTTTTTCCATTTGTTTGTTTCTTCTCTGATTTCTTTGAGCAATATTTTGTAGTTCTAATTTTAGAGATCTTACACCTGTATTGCTGGGTATTTTATTCTTTTGTAGCAATTGTGAATGAAATTGCCTTTCTGATTTGGCTCTCAGTTTGGCTGTTGTTGGTGTATAGGAAGGCTAATGATTTTTGTATATTGATTTTGTATCCTGCAACTTTGCTGAAGTTGTTTATCTGCTGGAGGAACTTTTAGGCACAAACCACGGTTTTTTGTAAATATAGAATCATGTCATCTGCAAACAGGGAGAGTTTGACTTTCTCTCTTCCTATTTGGATGTTCTTTATTTCTCTTGCCTGATTATACTGTCTAGAACTTCCAATACTATGTTGAATAGAAATGGTGATAGAGGGCATCCTCAGCTTGTGCTGGTTTTCAAGGGGAATGCATCCAGCTTTTGCCTATTTAGTATATAATGTTGGTTGTGAGTTTTTTATATATGGCTCATTATTTTGAGGTATATTCCTTCACCACCTACTTTTTTGAGAGTTTTTAACATGCAACACTGTTCAACATTATCAAAAGCCTTTTCTGCATCTATTGAGATAATTATGTGGTTTTTGTCTTTAGTTCTGTTAATGTGATGAATCACATTTATAGATTTGCCTACGTTGAACCATCCTTGCATCTTGAGGATGAAGCCTACTTAATCATGGCAGATTAACTTTTTGATGTGCTGCTGGATTTGATTGGCAAGTATTTTGTTAAGGATTTTTGTATCATTGTTCATCAAGAATATTGACCTGAAGTTTTCTTTTTTTGTTGTACCTCTGCCAGGTTTTTGTATCAAGATTACTCTGACCTCATAGAATGAGTCAGGGAGGAGACTCTCTGCCTCAGTTTCTTGGAATAGTTTATGTAGGAATGGTACCAGCTCTTCTTTGCATATCTGGAGGAGTTCGGCATGAGTCCATCATGTCCCAAGCCTTGTTTTGTTTCATAGGCTATTTATTACTGATTCAATCTCAGAGCTCATTATGGGTCTGTTCAGGGAATCAATTTCTTTCTGGCTTACTCTTGGGAAGGTGTATGTTTCCAAGAATTTATCCTCTTTTCTAGGTTTTCTAGCTTGTGTGCATAGTAGTGTTTTTAGTAGTTTCTGATGGTTGTTTTTTTCTATGGGGTCAGTGGTAACATTCCCGTCAGCATTTTTAATTGTGTTTATTAGGATCTTCTCTCTTTTATTCATTAGTCTAGGTAGTGGCCTATTTTATTAATTTTTTGTGGGAAAAAAAAGCTCCTGGATTCATTGATCTTTTGAAGGATTTTTCATGTATGAATTTCCTTCAGTTCAGCTCTGATTTTTGTTATTTCTCATCTTCTGCTAGATTTGGGGTCGATTTGTTCTTGCTTATTTAATTCTTTCAGCTGTGAAGTTAGGGTGTTAACTTGAGGTCTTTCTAAGTTTTTGATGTGGGTATTTAGTGCTATAATTTTTTTTTTTTTTTTTGAGAGGGAGTTTTGCTCTTGTCACCCAGGCTGGAGTGCAATGGCGCAATCTTGGCTCACTGCAACCTCGTCTCCTGGGTTCAAGCGATTCTCCTGCCTCAGCCTCCCAAGTAGCTGGAACTACAGGCACACATCACCATGCCTGGCTAATGTTTGTATTTTTACCTCCTGACCTCAAGTGATCTGCCCGCCTCAGCCTCCCAAAGTGCTGCGATAACAGGCATGAGCCATCATGCCCAGCCTGAATTTTCCTCTTAACACTGCCTTAGCTCTGTCTCAGAGATTCTGGTATGTTGTATCTTTGTTTTCATTAGTTTTAAAGAACTTCTTGATGTCTGTCTTAATTTCGTAATTTACCCCAAAGTCATTCAGGAGCATGTTGTTTAATTTCCATGTAATTGCATGGTCTTAGGCAATTTTCATAATCTTGACTTCTGTTTTTATTATGCTGTGGTTGAAAGTGTGTTTGGTATGATTTTGGTTCTTTTACATTTGTTGGGCATTGTTTTATGTCTAATTATGTGGTCAATGTTGGAGTATGTGCCATATGGCAATGAAAAGAATGTATATTCTGTTGTTTGGGTGTGCAGAATTCTATAAAGGTCTAAAATCCATTCGGTCCAATGTTGAGATTAGGCTTAAAATATTTTTGATAATTTTATTCTGCTTGATGATCTTTTCAATACTGTCAGTGGGGTGTTGAAGTCTCCCACTATTATTGTGTTGGAGTCTATGTCTCTTCATAGATCTCTAAGAACTTGATTAGTGAATCTGGGTGCTCCTGTATTGGGTGCATATATATCTAGGATAGTTAGGTGTTCTTGTTTAATTGAACCTTTTTCCATTAGGTAATGCCCTTCTTTGTCTCTTTTGATCTCTGTTTGCTTGAAATCTGTTCTGTCTGAAATTAGAATTGCAACACATGCTTTTTTGCTTTCCATTTGCTTAGTAGATTTTCCTCTGTCCTTTTATTTTGAGCCCATGATTGTCATTATGTGTGAGATGGGTCTCTCAAAGACAGTATACCACTGGGTCTTGCTTTTATTATCCAGCTTGCCACTCTGCACCTTTTAAGTGAGGCATTTAGCCCATTTACATTCAAGGTTACTTTGATACGTGTGGATTTGATCCTGTCATTGTGATGTTAGCTGGTTATAATGTTGGCTTGTTCTCATAGTTGCTTTACAGTGACACTGGTCTGTGTGTTAGTGTGTTTTTGTATTAGCTGGTAGCAGTCTTTCCTTTTGATATTTAGTGCTCCTTTCAAGATCTCTTGCAAGGCGGGTCTGGTGGTAAGAAATTTCCTCAACATTTGCCTATCTTAAAGTATCTTATTTTTCCTTCACTTAGGAAGTTTAGTTTGCCTGGATATAAAATTATTGGTTGAAGAGTTTTTTCTCTAAGAATGTTGAATATAGGTCCCCAATCTCTTCTGGCTTGTAGCGTTTTAGCTAAGAGGTGTGCCGTTAGCCTGATGGTGTTCCCTTTGCAATTAACCTGCCCTTTCTCTCTAGCTGCCTTTAACATTCTTTCTTTTTTGACCCTACGAATCAGACAATTATGTGTCTTGAGGATGATCTTCTTGTGTAGAATCTTGTAGGAGTGCTGTCTATTTCCTGAATTTGACTATTGGCCTCTCTAGCAAAGTTGGGGAAGTTTTCACAGATGATATCCTGAAATATATTTTCCAAGTTGTGTGCTTTCTCCGCCTCCATTTCAGGGATGCCAATGATTTGTAGATTTGGCCTCTTCACATAATCTCATACTTTTCAGAGGTTTTGTCCATTCCTTTTTATACTTTGTTCTTTATTTTTGTCTGTGTTATTTCAGAGAACCAGTCTTCAAGTTCTGAAATTATTTCCTTAGCATGGTTTATTCTGCTGTTAATACCTGTGACTGCATTGTGAAATTCTTGTGTTGTGTAATTCAGCTCTGTCAGATCTGTTAGGTTTTTTTTGTTTTGTTTTGTTTTTTTAACTTGCTATTTCAACCTTCAGTTCCAGTATTACTTTATTGTGATTCTTATTTTCCTTGGATTGGGTTTTGCCATCCTCCTGAATCTCAATGATCTTTCTTTCTAGCCATATTCTGAATTCTATTATGTCATTCCAGCCAGATCAGCCTTGTTAAGAACTCTTGTTTGAGAACTGGTGCAGTTGTTTGGATAACATAAGACAATCTGGCCATTCGAGTTACCAGATTTTTTGTGTTGGTTTTTCTCATCTATGCATGTGGGTGTTCCATTAACTGCATTGTAGATTGAGTACATTCAATAGACTTCTTTCCTGGATGTTTTCACCAGGCCAAGGCATTGTGTAGGGTCTTTACTTGAGGCTGACTTCTCATCTCTGGTTTTAGATGGGTGTATATTAGTGAAATATTTTTGGTGTTCACTCTATGCTGTGTGATCCAGCAGGTGGCACTTAGGCTTATTGGTCAATTGGTAGACTCTTGAATGGCTTTGTGGCTTCCTTATGTGTCCACACAGTTGCAGCTCTGTTCCCTTTCAATGCTCTGAAAGTGTGGGTTCATCTCCTGCTTGAGTGCTGGCTACAGATCTTGACTTGGTACTCCTGGGCTACCCATTGCAGCTCTGGGGCAATCTCATTGTTTATGTTTCTTCTCCAACTTGGAGGCAGCAGAGGAAGGGATCTTAGTAGTCATTGTGGCCAAGGGTCACTTATTTGTCTTCTGAGGGCTCCACCCCAGAGAGATGCAGATCAGCAATTGCTCAGTGCAATCATCCCAGGATGGAGAATCTATGCTGTGGGCCCAAGCCAAGGGTTCCCTGTCTGATGTGTGTGGGATCCATGGGAGATGGACTGGCCTCTTTATGGGTCAGCTGTAGCTTCTTGGAGGTACTTAGGGTCTTCGCTCCTTTGTTAGTCTGATGATGGCAAGGGCAGTTCCACTGCAGAGGCAGTGGCAGAGAGGCCTTCAGTTGCTCCTGGAGGCTCTGCACAGGGAGTTACCTGTGTCTTGATGGTTCTGGTGGAGGATGGCTGGAATCTGAAGCCTGGAGCACCTGCCTGGTGAGGAGATATGGGAATGGGCACCCACATAATAGTGTGACCACTTGTCCATAGGGCTGCTGTGGTATGGTTGGGGCCCACTCTAGTCCTCAGTTGCCTTGGATTTTCCAATACCTAGAGGTATCAGCCATGAAGGCTATAAAACAGCAAAGATGCCAACCTGTTCCTCCCTCTGGAAGCTTCATCTCAAGGAGTTACAGGCCTATTTCCAGCCAAAAGTCACCTGTAGAAGGTGTCTGGAGACTCTGGTTTGGAGGTCCCACCCAGTGAAGAGGAACTGTATCAGGGACATGCTTAAAAAATCAACCTGGCCATGTTTTGGTAGAGCAGCTGTGCTGTGGTGGGGGTCCACTTTAGCCCCTCGTTGCCTCAGACACTCCAAAGCCTGAAGGCTGAAATGGCTAAGTGGCCCAAACAGCAAAGATGGTGGCCTGCCCCTCCCTTTAGGAGCTCTGTCCCAGGGAGCTCTCTGTCCCAGGGAGCTCTCTGTCCCAGGGAGCTCTTACAAATCTCTGTTGGCCAAAGAACATGGACAGGGGTGGTTGGAAGCCCAGTTTGGGAGGTCACACCCAGTGAGTAGGAATGGGAATGGGGACCCACTTAAAGTAGTCTGGCCATGTTTTGGTAGGGTGGTTCTGCTGTGCTGGGAGATCCTTTCCACCCCAGTCGGCTCAGACTCTCCAATGCCCAAAGGCTGAAACAGCTAAGTTGCCCAAACAGCAAAGATGGTGGCCCACCCCTTCTTCTGGGAGCACCATCCCAGGGAGAATTCAACTCTCTGTTGGCTGGAGAACACCAGTGGTGGTGGCTGCAGCACCTGGTTGGGAGGTCCCACCCAGTGAAGAGGAGTGGGATCAGCGACCTACTTAAAGAAGTAGTCTGTCTGAAGGCTCTACTTCCACAGCACCTCATAAGATAAGACCCACTGGCTTGCTTAAAGAAGTAGTCTGGCTATGTTTTAGTAGAGCATCTGTGCTGTGCTGAGGGATCCCTTCCACCCCTGGTCAGCTCAGACTCTCCAAAGCCTAAAGGCTGGATCAGCTAAGTTGCCCAAACAGCAAAGATGGTGGCCCACCCCTCCCTCTAGGAGCACTGACGAAGGGGGGAATTCAAATCTCTGTCAGCTGCAGGATATGGGTGGAGGTGGCTAGAGGCCCCATTTGGGAGGTCCTGCCCAGTGAAGAAGAATGGAATCAGGCACCTGCTCAAAGAAGTCTGGCCATGTTTTGGTAGAGCAACTGTGCTGTGGCGCAGGATCCTTTATGCCCCCAGTCAGCTTGGACTCTCCAAAGCCTGAAGGGTGGAATGGTTAAGGTGCCCAAACAGCAAAGATGGTGGCCCACCCTTCCCCCTAGGAAGCTCCTTCTTAGGGAAGGGCAATGCCACTACCAGTGGCTGGCTGGAATTCCAAGCCAGTGGGTCTTATCTTGTGAGGTGCCACGGAAGTAGAGCCTTCAGGCTGTCACTGCTCAGCCCCCTGGATTCAGCCTCTTTCCTGGGGGTATGTATGGGGGTCTAACCTCCTATTTTGCTGGAGCTGCAGCTACTTTTGCCAGAAATCCCCAGTATCTAAGGTTCCAGGGTTTCCACGCATGCCTGAGCAGCTGCTCTGCCAAGACTCCACATAGCTCTGTGTGTCAGACTGAAGGCCCTAGCGGAGTGAGTTCACAAGGATATCTCCTGACCCAAGGGTTGCAAAGGTCCATGGGATAAGCATAGTTTTTCACTGTGGCACATTCACTCACTGCTTACCCAGGCAGGGAAGTTCCCCTGGCTCTGTGTGGCTCCTGGGTGCATCATTGTTCTGTCTTGCTTTTCTTCATTCTTCATGGGTCAAGTTGTTTCCTTGATTAGCCCCAATGTGAGTACCTGAAGGTTTCAGTTGAAGGTGTATTTACTCACCCCTTCCATTCCTCTCCTTGAGAGCCATGCATGCTAGCTGCTTCTAGTCAGCCATCTTGGCCACTCCCCCCATATACAAATGTTAACTCAAAATGGATCACAGACCAAAATTTAAAACCTAAAAGTAAAAAACTCCTAAAACAAAATATAGGAGAAACTCTTTGTGACCTTAGGTTAAGCAAAGATTTAATAGGTAAGATACCAAAATCCCAATCCACAAAAGAAAATATCAATAAATTGGGACTTCATCAAAATAAAATTTTCTGTTCTTTGAATGATAATGTTAAGAGAATGAAAAGGCAAGCAACAGAGGAGGAAAAAATATTTGCATGTCATATATATGATAATGGACTTGTATTCATAATAAAGAACTCTCGAAATTGAATAATTAAAAAAAGACAGTCCCAAAAATCTTTTTGACACAACAATCTCATTAAACTGATATTGGTTTTTTATTACTTTTGTGATAGAAACCAAAGAAAACTCCATAATTGTGTCAACTCCTGTTAAGGGCAAAGAGAGGAATATCAGCCATGGGAGAATAAAGAATCAGCTGCTGAGCTTCTATTTGTCTTAGATAACTAGAAGGGACATTTTAGCTACACAGGGTGATGGAAGATGAAAAACAGTTGATAGTTAATAATCTATTCCACCCCACACATTTTAAGTGAAATGCTAAAGTTTTGGCCAGGCCCGGTGGCTCATGCCTGTAATCCCAGCATTTTGGGAGGCCAAGGCAGGTGGATCACTTGAGGACAGGAGTTCGAGACCACCCTGGCCAACATGATGAAACCCCATCTCTACTAAAAATACAAAAATTAGCTGGGCTAATCCCAGCTACTCGGGAGGCTGAGGCAGGAGAATTGCTTGAACCCGGGAGGCAGAGGTTGAAGTGAGCCGGGATCGCACCACTGCACTCCAGCCTGGGTGACAGAGTGAGACTCCAACTCAAAAAAAAAAAAAAAAAAAGAAAAGAGAAAGAAATGCTGAAGTTTTGACTGACCTCTGATGAGTATGAACTGTGAAAAAGATAGTATGGAGCCAGCTTTGCCTTGACAGCCTTTGCCTTGGGCAATGAAATAAGGCTGACTCTTTGTGGAATTAAATATATGTTTCATTAAGATACCATATTGAAAAGATACTTATATCATTTTTATTCCTAAATTTTCACAGTTGATTATCTATAATAAAAGAGTAATAGTGACTGTATCTGAAGAAAGCAGTATTTCATTTTGGTTTAACTCTAAGCAGAGCAGTATATTATGCAGATAAAAGTTAAAGAGGGCTGGGCATGGTGGCTCACGCCTGTAATCCCAACACTTAGGGAGGCAGAGGCGGGTGAATCACCTGAGGCCAGGAGTTCGAGACCAACCTGGCCAACATGGTGAAACCCCGTCTCTACTCAAAATATAAAAATTAGCCAGGTGTGGTGGCACATGCCTCTAATTCCAGCTACTCGTGAGGCTGAGGCAGGAGAATGGCTTAAACCTGGGAGGCAGAGGTTGCAGTGAGCCGAGATTGTGCCACTGCACTCTAGCCTGGGTGACAGAGCAAGACCCTGTCTCAAAAAAAAAAAAAAAGAAAAAGTTAAAGTGGCTTTGAACTGTCGTTCAGGGCTTGTCAAATGAAGAACAATACAATGTATTCCCATTATATTGCTTTTTATTTTTATTGTGGTATAATATCTTGTGGCCTGTAATGTTTCTGACTTAAATTTTAGGTTAGGTGGAGAAATTTTATATCAATGACTGTGTATAAATTATATCATTCATCTCTTTTTTTTTTTTTTTTGAGACAGAGTCTTGCTCTGTCGCCGAGGCTGGAGTGCAATGGCACAATCTCGGCTCATTTCAACCTCTCCCTCCCAGGTTCAAGCAATTCTCCTGCCTCAGCCTCCCGAGTAGCTGGGACTACAGGCACATGCCACCACGCCTGGCTAATGTTTGTGTCTTTAGTAGAGATGGGGTTTCACCATGTTGGCCAGGCTGGTCTCAAACTCCTGACCTCAGGTGATCTGGCCGCCTCGGCCTCCCAAAGTACTGGGATTACAGGCTTGAGCCACTGCGCCCAGCCATCATTCATCTTTAATGAATGCATGCACTTATCCAGAAAGTATTGAGTACCTAATATATACTGGGCAGTAAGATACAAAAATGATCAAGGCCAATTTTCACATCAAAGAGCTATCAGACTGATTAAGAGGATGAACATTTAAAAAGATAGTGACAATGCAGTATAATACATGCTGTATTAGAGACACATAAAAGATTCTGTGTAGCTGAACAGAGAGAAGTTTAATTCTCCCTGGGGATGACTTAATTGGGCAGCCCTGAAATTTAGAATTTACCCTTCAGGTGATGGATGGCTATTGAAAGCTTTAAGTATGGATTATGATAGGAATTAATTTATGCTTTAGGGAGATAATTCTACATGGCAGTGCTGAAGGTGGATTTGAGAGTGGCAAGATTAACAGCACAGACACTTATTAAAAATATATTATTGTAGTCTGGTGACAAATGATTACATCCTAAATTAAGACAGCCACATTGAAGATTAAGTGCAGATGAATGTAAAAGGTATATTCCACAGGATTTTATCACAGAACAGATGTGGGGATCATGACTACACTTTTTCCCAACAGAGAACTTACACAAGATTACATGATCCTTATTCCCAACTCAATCAAAAAGGTTGGTGTTAATGGCATCCGGTCTTGCAAAATAATTTTCAAATCTCATCACAATGGAAAAAGAAAACTCTGGAAGCTTACTATATAACATTTTGCAATAATATGCTTCCTAAACAAATAGCTAAGCCTTGGTTTTCTTTTTGAATTTTCTGACAAAATGTTATTTTAATTGAAGGCTTTAAAGTTCGATATTTCATAATCAGCAGAGTAAACAGATAACCGACAGAATGGGAGAAAATATTTGCACACTAAGCATCCAGCAAAGGACTAGTATCCAGAATCTACAAGTAACTCAAATCACCAAAAAAAATATAATAATCACATTAGAAAGTGGGCAAAGGACATGAATAGACATTTCTCTAAAGAAGATATGCAAGGCCAGGCACGGTAGCTCACTCCTGTAATCCCAGGACGCTGAGGCAGGAGAACTGGTTGAACCCGGAGATGGAGGTTGCAGTGAGCGGAGATCGCGCCACTGCACTCCAGCCTGGGGACAGTGTGAGATTCTGTCTCAAAAAAAAGAAAAGAAAAAGATATACAAATGGCCAATAAACATATGAAAAGATGCTCAACATCACTAATCATCAGGGATATGCAAATTAAAACCATAATGAGGTATCACCTTACCCCAGCCAGGATGGCCATTATTTAAAAAGTCAAAAAACAGTAGTTTTTGGCATGGATGTGGAGAGAAGGGAACCCTTATGCACTACTAGTAGGAATGTAAATTAGTACAACCTCTATGGAAACCATCATGGAGATTCCTTAAAGAGCTGAAAGTAGAGCTATTCAATCCAGCAATCACACTACTGGGTATCTACCCAAAGGAAAATAAGTCACATCAAAAAGATACCTGCACTTGCATGTTTATTCCACCATAATTTGCAATTACAAAGATGTGGAATAAACCTAAGTGCCCATCAATTAATCAGTGGATAAAGAAAATGTGGCTTATATACACCATGGAATACTATCAGCCATTAAAAGGAATGAAATAATGCATTTTGCAGCAACTTGGATAGAGCTGGAGACCACTATTCTAAGTGACTTAACACAGGATTGGAAAACCAAAAACCATATGTTCTCACTTATAAGTAGGAGCTAAGATATGAATATGCAAAGATATACAGAGTGATATAATAAACTTTTGAGGTTCAAAAGTGGGAAGATGAGAGAGGGCCTAGGGCTAAAAAACTACACATCAGGTACAATGTACATGACTCAGGTGATGGATGCACTAAAATCTCAGAATTCACTACTATATAATTCTTCCAAGTGACAAAATACCACTTGTACTCCAAAAGCTATTGAAATAAAAAATATAAACTAAAACTACTGAAAATGTAATTTAAAATACTAGCACACATGTAGTTGCAGAGATTTGTTTTTAATTGATCTCTATCCCTTGTTATTCTCATTGGTCTCCCAGGAAGAATAAACTGTTGCACAAGAAAAATAAATAAACAAAAAGAAAATTTGGTATTTCACCACAGTAACAGGAATAACTCATTTGTTCAGAAGCACACAAACCCTGTTCTTCTGTGGTAATAGATAACCCAACAGATTTGGGAAAGTTCCTTTCAATTAGTTAGACATTTTAACCTACTGTTAGAAGATTCACTCTTCTATATCTACATTCTCACCTTTGTAAAGTACTGTCAAATAATTATCTTGCCTTCACAAGTTGGTTGAATAGGTATGTTAGTTAACTAATTTTGCAGCAAGAAATTTTCATAACTGAAGGATATCCAGTATCTTATAAATAAAACTATGACCTAGTTTATATACTGTAATTTCTTACCAAAACTTAAGAACTCCTTATTGAATTCTTACTTAATTCATGGAAAGGAATTGATATGGCTGACAGGCCAACCTATTTTAAAGGTACTTATTTGGCTTTACATTCCCACATATAAGCAAGTGAAGGTTTCATGTGAATCAGTATTAGTACTGCAAAGCCTCAAGAATGAGACATTCTGTTCCGCAGTTATGCTTGTTATTGGAACCATTATTTTTTTTTTAAAAAAAAGATCATTTTTATAAACAACAATAACTGAAGTGTTCATACATGCCAGAGGGACTACTGGTTTCCTTTCTTCCTGCCCTCCCTTTCTTCTTATTGTCAGGAGTCCCTCAACGATTGAAGTTGTTTTAGCTCCAAATTGAATTTTTTGAAGGCCTTAAACCTTGATTAAAAATAAATTTACCAAAACATTGTCAAAAGTTACTTTAAAAAGTATTATATTGATAGTAAATCTACTAAACTTATTTATACAAGAGAATGTCTCTGGAAATACACAAGTGGTGAGAGAAGGGGAGGGGAGGAGAAGGCCTCTGAGGTAAACTGTGAAGGGAAGTTGACTGTGGGTAAGGGGCAGAGAGGCATTCATTGAACTGCTATTTCTTGAGGTCACTCTGGGCGAAGGGCAGTGCCTGGGGTCCTACTTGCCGGCCCAGGCACAGGCACGGAGTCAGAACATCCTGCCCCGCCCCTTCCCCCCAACCTTTCACCTTCCTTTCCAGCCCCACCCCGCTCCCATGGCCCCGGACCTTGGCAACGCTGCGCAGCGCGTCAGTCAACGTCACAGGGCGTGGGGGTGGCTAGAGGCCCCAGTGGCCTCTGATCTCACAGAGCAGATCAGCGCGGGTGTCCAGCGCCCCGATGTGGGCAGTCGGGGCTAGCCGCTGGGGCAGGCTGCCCCCAGCAAGAGGAGCGGCCGCTCCAAACCACAAAATCTCCAACGCCGGACAGCGCGGCCTCGGTCACCATACGCTACAGGCATCCTGCAGGCCATCGCGTGTGGTGGAGCGTCCGGCGCTTATCGTGGTCAGTCCCCCTCTACGCCACCGTCCGATTCCCCCGACGCCCCCGCCGACCCCGGAGCTTGCCCTCAGCCCCTTCATCTGCCGAGGCATACCCTTGCTGCCCATCCCACCCAGGGATCGCCACCTCTGCCCTCTACCAGGCTCCGGGCCCGGTGCCGAGGACTGGCCGCCAAGGGTTGCGGACTATGGCCCTAAAGCTCATCCACAAGGAGTTCCTCGAACTGGCCCGCGACCCCCAGCCCCACTGCTCAGCAGGGCCAGTGTGGGACGATATGCTCCACTGGCAGGCCACCATAACGAGGCCCAACGACAGCTCCTACCTGGGAGGGGTCTTCTTCCTAAAGTTTCCCTCCGACTACCTATTCAAACCACCCAAGATCAAATTTACCAACGGAATTTACCATCAACGTTAACGGAAATACGCGACAGGAGGGAGTATGGCAGAATAGCTAAAGACTGGACTCAGTAGTGTACCATGTAATTTCAAAATATAATTCCATCGCCTTAATAATAAAGATGCAGAAAGTGGCAGTTCACTTAATTGGTTATGTTTTGATTACTTTCTATGAAGGGTAGTCTCCTCATTCTTCTGGGCACGCCTTACGCGCTTTTCTTAGCAGGCAATGAGTGGAGGCCATAGAAGTGGTGAGGTTCTGGGGGTTGGGGACAGGGGCCTGCACGGTTGGTGGAGGGTGTGGCCGAGTGGGAAGTGAGGGTGTGTGGGGAGTGTAAGACAAACAGGTCAGTTTTCATTTAGTTTTGACAAAAAGATTTATTTGTTGATTTAGGATTGTGAAACAAAGCAAGAACAAGGGGGTGGTGGCTTTAAGATTGAGAACAGTTCCACTGACTAGTGGGAATTTTATTTATTTATGTATTTATTTATTTGAGACTGGAGTCTCGCCCTGTAGCCCAGGCTGGAGTGCAATGGCATGATCTTGGCTCACTGCAACCTCCACCTCCCGGGATCAAACGATTCTCCTGCCTCAGCCTCCCGAGTAGCTGGGATTACAGGCGTGAGCCACCAGGCCCTGCTAATTTTTGTGTTTTTAGTAGAGACGGGGTTTCACCATGTTGACCAGGCTGGTGTTGAACTCCTGACCTCGTGATCCGCCTGCCTCAGCCTCCCAAAGTGCTGGGATTACAGGAGTGAGCCACGACCCTGGCTGGGAAAGTTTTTGATGTGCAGTCTGTTTTGAACTGACATCAGTTGGGAAAAGCAAGATGAAGATTAATAAAGCTCGTATTCATTTTATTCTGAAGAACCTGTGTCTTAAGTTGTTTTGATTTTGACCATGAATAATATTACCCATCCTCTACTTTGAGATTCAGATTTAACTGGCCCAAAATGAAATGGATTAGTTGTTACAATATAAAATGTATTTTGTTCCCAGTTTCCGACAGCCCCCACACCTTCATCTTCCACCTTTTTGCCCACTCTGCCTCTCTCCCACGCCCAGAGTTGGGTTGTTTGTGACTTCTCAGGACATACCTACTAGCTCTTACTTGTCATGTTTTCTCGAGAACCATGTAAGGTCTGAGATTCTACCCAGCCTGCAAGCTACAAGTTAGCTTGTCACAGTTTGGTGGAGGCTGGCAAAATGACAGAGAGTCCTGGGTTAGAGGCAGGAGTCATAGCACAGCAGGCAGCATGAGCTTCACTGACATCAGTTTCCCTTGCTCCCTCAAGTCCCAAGGAGGAGAGGTAGATCAGACCAGGTGAGTGGTGCACACACAGTGGGTTTGGGTCACAGTTGAGAGAACTTAAGTTTAGGAACCCCCAGTCTTTGAAAGGGGACTGCTAGCAAACCTGCCCACCCTTTGCCTAGAGAGAGAGGTTCTTATTAAGCTCATCAGGAAACAGGCAAATCTACCCTCTCCCCTGGAGGGACCTCTAACTTCCAAGGCTGTTGTATACAAGCATATGTCAATAAAACTATTTGAAAAGAAAAAAAAATACTTTCAATATGAAACTGAGTTTTCAATAATCCCCTTTTATTCACTTAAACGCAATTTTTACATTTTTTAGTTTTTGTTTACATTTTTACAAGGAAAATCAACTATTAAAGATTAGTATATCTGTAAGAAAATTTATATTTTTCTAAATATAAAAATATATATATTTGAAAGGACAGTCCAGGACAAATGTTGTCACAGGATGACTAGAATTATCATGAAGAATTGCACCCTGACAGTTTTAACTGGACTATCTGGTTGTACAGGTAAAAATTAATTTTATGAAAATACTTGTGTGTAAGGAAAAGCCCAATTCCTCCATTAGAACTTGTACATTCAGGGATGACCAATCAGTGTAATAAGCAGATTACTACCATCATCACATTTAATACGTTTTGTAATTTAATCAATTATCTAATCTTAGTAGGCTAAAAAAGTTTTAATTTTCTGAAGGTAAGTTTAATCCTTAACACTTCAAATAAAAGAGAACAAAAACTACTCAGCAGGAAAAATATATGCTTAGTGTTTTACTTTCATGCACGTTTAAAATAATTTATTTGGATGCTAACAATGTTATTGACATTACATTTTCAATACATGCCAAATTTTCTCTTACCTGGAGCACAGAAGAAAAAGAGACATAGAGAAACTTCTTCAGGCCTGGCACAGTTGCTCATGCCTCTAATCCCAGCACATTGGGAGGCCAAGGAGGGCAGATTGCTTGAGTTTAGGAGTTCGAGACCAGTTTTGGCAATATGGCAAAACCCCATCTCAACAAAAACAAAATTAAAAAAAAAAAAAAGCCAGACATAATGGTGCACACCTGTAGTCTCAGCTACTTAGGAGACTGAGGTGGGAGGATCCCTTGAGCCCGGGGAGGGGGGCTGGGTGTTGAGGCTGTGGCGAGCTGTGACTGAGCCACTGCAATTCGGCCTGGGTGTCAGAGTAAGACCGTGTCTCAAAAAAAAAAAAAAAGTCTTTGCATTTAAATATGTTAATTTGTAAATTACACTAAATCTCACTTGAGAAGACTTTATAAACTCTTTTTTGAAGTGTAAAAGTTAACTTTAGTATATTACCTATGATCTACTCTTGTTAAAGGGGAGATGGAGGGATGAAGGCAATACTGTCTAATAAAACTTTCTGCAATGGCGGAAACATCCTATATCTACACAATCCAAATACAGTAGCCGCTAGCCATGCGTGGCTATTGAACATCTGAAACAGAAAGAGAGGGAGAATTTTGTTTTTACCTAGTTTTTAGTAAAAGCTTTATTGCATGGTTTGCAAACCACTTTTTAACCTTTGTATTTTAGATTTTACATGCCTCCAAGAGATCTTTACAAAATGTTTACATTATGATATGTAACTATAAAAAAAAGAATAAAATTTCTGTCCATGTCACTAGAGATCATTGATTTAGTAGAGAGCTATGCTATGAATATGTTTGATATTTGTAGATTGTTGAAACATTACCACTTAAGAAATTTCTAATCAAGAAATTCAATATTATAGTCTGTTCCTAAGAAGCAAATAGAAACTTTTATGGTAGAGATTATGTATGTAGGTCATCAATAGTGATAGCTGGAATTTTCAGAATATTAATACAGTGATCTCACACTATTATGAGCTTTTCCTATTATGGTCCAATTCACAGTTACTAATTATATTGCCTTTATTATTTTGCTTCAAATATATTTTCACCATCAAAATCAAACCCACATAATAGTAAATATTTGGGGATAAACAATAAAATCTAAGCAGGACATTATGAGACAGTCAAAATGGCCATAGTAGGATGGCAATTCTATTTCTGATTAGAATATTTAAGGTTCTTTTTTATTCAAAATGGTTACTCCCATCTTGCTCTGTTAGTCCCTACCTACCAGTTCCTCGATTTCAGTGAAATCAATTATGAAATGTTAAAATTTGTATTTGGATTAGGGAGGGAAAGATGATTGTATTCTATTGTCAGTATTTTCAGAAGCAGAATAACTGAGCTGATTTGGGGAAAAGGTTCTATCCTAGGTATCAAAAAACATAGCTTTTGCCTCGTAAAACTGCTAACACATACCCTACACGTAAAATTGAGTACTTTCAGCTTACTAAATGTTTGGCATGATTTTTAATATCGTGTTTTATGTGTATTGGGGTAAGATATTATGACTTTGTCTTGCCTCTATAGATACCATCAGGGCAAGTCTAATTCAGCTTGAAAGTTAGGCCATGAACAAGGATAATCTGGCATATATTATTAGCATTTATAAAAATATTTAGCTAAAAATATTTAGCTTTCTCATGTTAGGTATATGAAAAGCATAGCAAATATCCAACCATCCATGGTACAGCTTTCTTTCATCTCATGATGAGAAAAAAGATTCTTATATAATTTATACTGGCCTCAAATCATGATCTTCACTTGTTTTGGGTTTATACTGTCAACAAAAAGAGTCAAACTCTGTAGAATATTTGAAGAGATTTGTTCTGAGCCAAATATGAGTGACCATGGCCCGTGACACAGCCCTTAGGAAGCTGGTCCTGAGAACATGTGTCCCAGGTGGTCAAGGTGCAGCTTGGTTTCATACATTTTTATAGAGCCATGAGATATCAATCAAATACATTTAAGAAACACATTGGTTTGGTTCAGAAAGGTGGGACAATTCAAAGTGGGGGCTTCCAGGCAATAGGTAAATTTAAACATTTTCTGGTTGACAATTTGTCCAGTTTGTCTAAAGACCTGGGATCAATAGAAAGGAAATGTTCCTGATAAAATAAAACATTGTGGAGACCAAGGTTCTTTTAAAATTTTACAGTGGCTGCCCTTAGAGACAATAGATGACAAATGTTTCCTATTCCAATTTTTAATGGTGGTAGACTCTTGCTTAATCTCTTTAGGATTGGAAGGGCCTGGAAGAAAAAGATCTAGCTATGTTAATAGAGATTGTTTACAGATGCAGATTTTCCACCGCAAAGGACAGCTTTGCAGGGCCATTTCAAGATATGGCAAAGAAACATGTTTTGAGGTAAAATATTTTGACTTTCTTATTTGTCACATAATGTTATGCCAGAGTCAGACTGGAAAGTAAGTCACAACATATAGGGTTAAATAAAACCCATCTGATGAGAATTTGTGGTTTTCAGGGCATGACTCTCCAGACCCCTCAGATAGGAATTTGGGCATGATAAAAAAAAAAAAAAAATCAGAGCTTAGTCCTCAGTGCCCCCCCTTGGACAAATGTTCAGGCCAACAAACAGCAGCAGGTCCCACAGTGCTAGGAAGGCTCATTCCTAGAGTTGTCTGGTTTGGCCATCTGGCAAGGTTTCCTGGCACTAGGAAGGCTCGTTCCTAGAGCTCTCTGATTTGATGGTAATACTTTTAAATATTAAGCTGGGTGTGGTGGCTTACACCTGTAATCCCAGTACTTTGGGAGGCCAAGGCATGTGGATCACAAGTTCAGGAGTTCAAGACCAGCCTGGCCAAGACAGTGAAACCCCGTCTCTAAAAAAAAAAAAAAAAAAAAAAAAGACAAAAAAATTAGCAGAGCGTGGTGGCATGCACCGGTAATCCCAGCTACTCGGGAGGCTGAGGCAGGAGAATCACTTGAACCTGGGAGGCGGAGGTTGCAGTGAGCCGAGATCGTGCCACTGCACTCCAGCCTGGGCAACAGATTGAGACTCTGTATGAAAAAATAGATAAGTAAATAAATAAATAAATAAATATTAGCTATTTGGATCACGGGGGAGGACATGGTCTGAACCAATATAATAGCCATTTGTTTAAGGGGTGAGATGGAGTCAGGCCTAGGGTTTAGTAAAAATAAACAAAAAAAATTCCCGGGCCAGATGTATTTTGCGAGCTATCATGATCCGGGTCCTTAATTGTACCTTTTCCTTTTGCTGTATCTGGCATAACATTTACAAGAGTTGTATAATGCTAATATAGTAAGAAATATAATAAAGATAGTGAAGATTGAGTGTCCAAGGTTATAGGTAGAATCAGAGGGCAGTAAACAACCCAATCTGCCAGAAAATCCCCTGTATGCATTATTATATTCTTGGATCAAACTCACAATGTGTTCAACCCCCTTGTTAAGGGTTATTTGAACTTTATGATAAATCTTATTTGAGGATAGTAGGAGTGACATTAAATCAGAATCCAATAAATTTAGTGTCTCTTCTAGCCAATTTATCTCTATAGGTATAACAACCTGAGGAGGGTATTAATCAATTGCAAGAAACACCCGGTCCTCAGTGTCTAAATTGTTATAGACTTGCTAACAGTAGAAAAATCTATTTTTCCCACCACTTTTGTATTGCACCATATACTGGTATTTGGGAGAGAAAAGAAGGCTTTGTCACAGGAGAAGTCATTCTACAGTGTCATTTCTTTTTGTCCCTCGGCAGGACTCCCTATGGCTGAGAGCCTTAAGAGTCAAAAGACTTATAGCCAATTAATTGTTCTAGGCCAGCTAGGAATGGATGTGGACAGGCATTTGTTACTTCTTAAAATTATTATTTTAAGTAAAAAAGCCAACAACAAAACCAAAAGGCAAAGTTACAAGACACTTATTTTTAACTTCTATGTGTTGAACTACTATAAGCTTGGTTTTTGTTACAGACTTTTAGCAATTAGCTATATAAAACATTAGCATTGTTCTGAAAAATAATTAAACATATCTATATCTATAGCTATATAGATATAGATATATTTATCTTCACAACTCATAATTGGGAGTGTTATACCCAGGAGGCTTTGTTACAAGGTATTTTTATCCGGTTATTTTACTAGTTAGTAAATATTTCCTTCTAATTCTATAGTAAGCAGAAAATTTTTATGGTCGTGGTGGATGCAAAAGTGACACATGATAGTTTAGAAGGCAATTAAACTTGTTTTACCAGATATTTAGGCATTTTTGTACCCCCTTTTAGATTTGGAGGGTTTGACCTTGACTTAGTCCCTCAAAACTGACCCTTACAATATTATGCACCCATCTCTTCCACGATAGTCCCTGGGCCTACAGCGAGGCAGCTTGTAAGGTTTTAGTAGCAGAGCATTAGCAGTGAAACAGATCTGGGCCCAGGGGGATGCCAAATGAGGGAGATTCATATCTCTGGTCTTTAGAATACCATGGCTTTGGTTTCCTTGGAAGTAAAACAAGGAGAGATAGATAACATTTATAGTTTGACAATTATAAGAGTCATTGAGGCCTGGCACCTGTAATCCCAGCACTTTGGGAGGCCGAGGCGGGTGGATCCCCTGAGGTCAGGAGTTCTGGACCAGCCTGGCCAACATGGTGAAGCCCCGTCTCTACTAAAAATACAAAAATTAGCCGGAAGTGGTGGCAGGCGCCTGTAATCCCAGTTACTCAGGGGGGCCGAGGCAGGAGAATTGCTTGAACCTGGAAGGTGGAGGTTGCAGTGAGCCGAGATCCTACCATCACACTCCAGCCTGGAGGACAAGAGCGAGGCTTCATCTCAAAAAAAAAAAAAAAAAAGAATAATTGCTATGTGAGAACAGAAAAGGAAACCTATTCAATTAGGGCACCAAATAAAAATATGAAGAAAAATTATAACGATTTAATCTGTACTCGAAAAAGTTAGGGCTGAAATCCAGTATTAAGTGTTACGTTTTTCCCTTGAAAGTATTTTTTTAGCTGCCTTTATTTAGTAAAGATAAAATTATAGCAAGGCCAATTTGTGTGCAAGGTAAGTTTTAGGCTTATTATGCTTGCCTGATTATTTGCATAAAATACATTGAGAATTGATTGACCATATAGACTCGTTTTAAGTTGGCTTTGCTGGAACTTTGCTTAAAAAGAGGCTATTTTAGTTTAAGTCTTGGTAAAATAACCAGTGTCTCCAATTGTTTTTTTTAGATAGAGTCTCGCACTGTCGCCCAGGCTGGAGTGCAGTGGTGCCATATCGGCTGACTGCAACCTCCATCTCCCGGGTTCAAGAGATTCTCCTGCCTCAGCCTCCTGAATAGCTGGGATTACAGGCGCATGCCACCACGCCCTGCTAATTTTTTGTATTTTTAGTAGAGACAGGGTTTCACTGTGTTAGCCAGGATGGTCTCGATCTCCTGACCTCGTGATCTGCCCGCCTCGGCCTCCCAAAGTGCTGGGATTACAGGCGTGAGCCACGTGCTCAGCCTGTGTTTGTGGTTTTTTTTGTTTTTTGCTTGTTTGTTTTTACTATTATTGAACTAATGCAGACAACTATAATGTCATAAAATTTCAATCTAAATTTTGGAGAGCTCAGAAAGGTAAATTTTCTTACAAAGACATACTGTACCCAAATAACTTAAAAGAAAAAGATTCTCTTGAGCTTTCTTTAACCAGAGTAGCAGCTTTTAAAACAAGATGTTTGTATACCTTTGAAATGCCATTTACAAACCAAACAGCTCCTGAGAGCTATTAGGCACTGTAGAATTTAGCAGCTCCTCACAATTAGTCCTAGGAAAGAGGCTCTCTGCTTATTAGGTAGCAAGATTTTATATAAACCATTTTTATTCTATCATGGCACTCTTTTGGGAAACATTATTTTCATTAGCATAGGGATAGCTTCAGTTAATATTTCATAGCAAGGCAGTAAATGCCCCATTAAGTAGAAATTCTCCAGTTCAGTCATTGTCATTGAAAGGTACTCACAGTTTTTGCCAACAGCCCTGATAAAAGCTCCACATAAAGGGCTATGCAGTGGAGGATTTGTCCCAACTAGCACTCCAGCTCTTACCCTATATTCTGTGCACTTAGGCACCTTACTAGTTTCCATTTAGCATGTGCAATTAAACATTTCTTAAAAGAACAGATTTATATGCCTTTAGTTTACACTGCTAGATGGGGAAACATCTAACCGTGTAAGTTTGATATAGTATCCATTTTTATAAGACTTTCAGTAAAGGGGTTACAACTACCTTATATAAAGCTTGTTTAAACATTTTAATTTTATAATTCTATGAGCCTGTATGTTTTTATGTTCCGGTCTCAGTAACCCTTTTTTTACCCCCAGACCATTTTACATTTTCTGGTGAAAAGGATTTCGGTTCCCACAGGGAGTTGCATTTGTAAGACTGATGAGGGACAGCATATTTGATAAGGCTTCTTAAACAGTCCTATTATTCTGTGGGAGGAGCTCCCATGTAAAATGGGCTCCCTTAACCCCAAAATTTACCATGACCTGGGTAATAGGCACATTTGGTGGGAAGATATCCCACTTATCATAAAGTTAGTCCAACATGGCTTGCATATGAAGCATATCAACTGCTTAATCTGGGGTGCTTCACTTAGTATTTTATAGGGAGAGTTGGGCAGTCCCCTTCTCAAGGCAAACAGACCTTACAATGGCATTATCTGGCCCACTAGGCTGATCACTTTCTTAGGAATAAACCCCTGTTAATTTGGAACAAATATACTCAGTGATGGTTAAGTGATGAGCTGTGGGTCCTGCATTAATCTAAACAAGGTCTTATATTCTGTAGCATTTAAAATTAAGAATTTTGTTCTTAAAGTGGTTATTTTTACAATCCACTATAGTAAAGATTTTTTTTAAAGAAGCTGGATGATACCAATCTACAAGATGGAACAATTCCTTTACATTACATACTTGGGTTTTAAATAGTTACTTTGTTTTACCCTTTCCCCATATGGACTATTGTCTTGGTAACCACAGGGCTCAGAGTTTTGTTGCCCTGGCTTTTTTTTTTTTTATTTATTTTGTTTTATCTGTATAATTTCCTTCATTATAAAGCAACTCTTAGTTTTTTTGTTTTTTTTTTTTTTGAGACGAAGTCTCGCTCTGTTGCCCAGGCTGGAGTGCAATGGTATGATCTCAGCTCACTGCAACCTCCACCTGGTTCAAGCAATTCCCCTGCCTCAGCCTCCCAAGTAGCTGGGATTACAGGCGCATGCCACCACGTCCAGCTAACTTTTTTGTATTTTTAGTGGAGATGGGGTTTCACCATGCTGGCCAAACTGGTCTTGACCTCCTGACCTCAGGCAATCCGCCCAACTCGGCCTCCCAAAGTACTGGGATTACAGGTGTGAGCCACCATGCCCGGCCTAACTCTTAGTTTCTTAACTGAAACAAAACTAACTTTTTTTGAAAATTGACATCCTTGTATTTATAAAATTTTTACCAAAGGCATATTTTATGCTTCTACTATTTTAACTTTTTAGTAACCCAAATTTCCAGTGGGAAAAAATCCTGAGGGTTTAATATGACTCAAAGACTTTTAAATTACAGGAGAGTTTTAGGATTAAATTTACCAAATTAATTTTACCAAAGATTACCAAGGTTATGTGAATTAAAAGGCACCTGAGCTAACTTCTACCAATATGATAAGCACTTACTTTTTTAAAAGTTACTTGATTGTAAGGGAGGAGACCACCCCTCATATTGTCTTATGCCCAATTTCTGCCTCCAAAGAAAGAAGAAGTAAAAACTAAAAGGTAGAAATGAAATCCACAGGCAGACAGCCCGGCACCGCACCCTGGGCCTGGTTAAAGATCCACCCCTGACTTAATCGGTTATGTTATCTATAGATTACAGACATTATATAGAAAGGCACTGTGAAAATCTCCATCCTGTTCTGTTCTGTTCTAATTACTGGTGCATGCAGCCCCCAGTCATGTACCCCTGCTTGCTCAATCAATCATGACCCTCTCACACGGACTCCCTTAGAGTTGTGAGCCCTTAAAAGGGACAGGAATTGCTCACTCGGGGAGCTCGGTTGTTGGAGACGTGAGTCTTGCCGAAGCTCCCGGGCAAATAAAGCACTTCCTTCTTTAACTCGGTGTCTGAGGGGTTTTGTCTGTGGCTTGTCCTGCTGCATTTCTTGGTTCCCTGACCAGGAAGTGAGGTGATTAATGGAAGGTCGAGGCAGCCTCTTAGGCAGCTTAGGCCTGCCCTGTGGAGCATCGCTGCAGGGGCCAGCTTGAGCAACACGGATCCTGAGAGTGCTCCCAGGTAGGCAATTGCCCCGGTGGAACGCCTCGCCACAGCAGCGCGTGGCAGGCCCCCGTGGAGGATCAACGCAGTGGCTGAACACCGGGAAGGAACTGGCACTTGGAGTCCAGACATCTGAAACTTGGTAAGACTAGTCTTTGGAACCTGCCCACTCCATTTGAGTGGAAGCGTGGCCTGATCACCCATGGTGTGCCTGTACCGGCACTTTGGTTTTTGTTTTTGACTTGACTTGGTTTGCTTGATACTTTGGTTTTGGTTTTGACCTGGCTTGGATTTCTGGATACTCTGATTTTGGTTTTGGTTTTTGTTTGATGTAAACTGTAAAAGTGTGTGTGTGCCCTTCTCACCCGTTCTTTGTTTTGTGGCATGCATGTGGTTGTGAGCCTGGTGTTTTGTCTCGAAGAAGCATGGGTCAGGCACAAAGTAAGCCCACTCCACTAGGAACTATGTTGAAAAATTTCAAGAAAGGATTTAAGGGAGATTATGATGTTACTATGACACCAGGAAAATTTAGAACTTTGTGTGAAATAGACTGGCCGGCATTAGAGGTGGGTTGGCCATCAGAAGGAAGGCTGGACAGGTCCCTTGTTTCAAAGGTATGGCACAAGGTAACCCATAAGCCAGGGTACCCAGACCAGTTCCCATACATAGACACTTGGTTACAGCTAGTTTTAGAACCCCCACACACACAGTGGTTGAGAGAACAGCAGCATCAGCGGCTGGCAGAGGCAAAGAAAGACCAGCAGAGAGACAGAGAGAGGAAAGAGACAGAGAGAAAAGGAGGCAAAGACAGAGAGGAAAAGACAGAGAGGAAGAGACAGAGAGACAAAGAGGGAGTCAAGAAGAGAGAGAGAGAGAGGCAGAGAGAGAGGAAGAGACAGAGGCAAAAGGAAAGTCAGAGAGAGACAGAAAGTCAAAGAGAGAAAGAAAGAGAGAAATATACAAGTAGTTAAGAAAAAAAACAGTGTACCCTATTCCTTTAAAAGCCAAGGTAAATTTAAAACCTATAATTGATAATTAGAGGTATTCTCCATAACCCTGTAACACTCTAATACCACTTTGTTGTCAGTGTAAACAAGGGCATATCCGAAAGCACTGAGACCTTCCTATCAAAAATCTTTAACCCAGTAACCTGCGGATGGCCCAGATGCATTCAATCTGTAGCGCCAACAGCTTTGCTAACAGAAGAAAGTAAAAAAAATAACTTTTAGAGGAAACCTCATTGTGAGCACACCTCACCAGTTCAGAAGTATCCTAAAAAAGAAAAGAAAAGAAAAGAAAAGGATGATTTAACATTAACCACTGAAAATTCTTTTAACCCAGCAGTTTTCCTAACAGGGGATCTAAATCTTAATTACCATACAAAGGTCCGACCAGACCTAGGAGGAACTCACTTCAGGACAGGATGATCTATGGTTCCTCCCGGGTAATTGAAGGGGGAAAAAAAGCCATCTATACCAATTCTAAGTTAATTTGGACTAAACAAGTTCTTATTAATAGCAAAGGATAATTGAAATCCCAAACTTACAAGTTTTCAACAAAAGTAAAGTTTGCTAAAAGTTAACAGTGTAACAAGTATTATAGTAACTTCTAATCTTGTGGCCTTAGACAGCCTAGTCCACAGACATAAAGGAAGTTCGCTTTGGAAAAGAATGGTTATCATCTTCGAAAAAAAAAGAGGGGGAAGAGGGGGTAGAATTTATGTAAAAAGAGTGTTATATGGTAAATTCTTGTCCTGAAATAAATTAACTGGTTGTTTAAAGAAAGAAATGTTTGTAATAAGTCAGAAAGTTAAGGTATGTCGAAGAATTGTCTGCGAAAGTCGTGAAAGAGAAAAAAGTTATAAAAAAAGTATGCAAGAAATGTTGTATAATTTAAAAGTAATAAGGCCTCCTGAGTAATATTGAAGAAACAGTTTATGTGCAAAGTGTATAAGGAAAGTAAAATATACCTTTGGTAAAAGGATTATAAGGAGGCATAAGAATGTGGATTTTTATCTACATTAAAAGGTTAAAAAATATTGTTTTGAAGGTTTAAGCAAGTTTTAAAATGTTAATTATAAAGGAAATTCTGTGTGTAAACATATTAGCTAAAGTTAAAGCAGTATCATCCAGTTTTTCTGTGAACTGGACATGAAAGTAAAAACACAACAGGTTTTTCTTAAAGCACTAACCTGCTCTTTAAAAAAGATTATAAAAGGTTAAAAAGAGTCTATAAAAATCTTACCTTATGGTCCAACATTAAAAATTGAATAAATATGTATACAAATTTTTTTAAAACTAAGTTTAACATTAATAGCACAGTAATATAAAGGTAAAATTTAGCTTATCTGGTATAAAAATCATACAAGAAGCATTGTCAAATATAAAATGGTGTTTGGCTTCTTTGGTCCAAAAACTAATAAAAAATAGGTGCTAAAGGAAATTTCTCAGTAGAAAGGCACCAAGGACTATAAAGTCCACTGCTGATGCTCCCACACTTAAAACAGAAAGTCAATTTCTTAAAAATTATATACTTGGTTTATCTTCCACTTTCCTTTCCCTCAAAACTAAAAGTCCTTTAGCACGTGTACCACCTCTAGAATTTCCAGTAAACCAGCACCAGCCTGAAGATCATGTTCTCATCAGAGGGTGAAAAGAAAGGAAACTCGAGCCAGCCTAGGAAGGACCCTACCTTGTGCTACTAAAGAGACTGCTGTTTGTACAGTGAAAAAAGGATAGACTCATCACAACCGAGTCAAGAAAGCACCATCCCCTCCAGTGTCCTGGGCCATAGTCCCAGGGGAAAACCGTACCAAACTAAAGCTAAGAAAAATTTAACTCTTTCATCTATTCTATTACTCTTTCTTCTCTCCTCGCTCTATTGCTGACCATCTAGTTATTAACATAATGAAGTCAATTTTGCCTCAAACTATTGCATTTAATGCTTGCCTGTTACACCCTGTGGGGACTTGCCAAGTCAAAGACAGCTCTCTACTTCAAAAAAGTACCTCTGTCCCTCCTGACTCTCCTCAGACTGGGCATTAGTAAATTAGGACCATTTAATCTGGGGAAATTTTGATAAAGACTCCAGTGTCAACCAGGAGTGAGTCTTGCCCCCCAATGTAGAGCTTTTATGCCATAGTTGGTCCAACGTTCTGTGGAGCACTAAAGAGCAAGGTTGGACTGCCCTAACTGGTTTTTATAATTTCCTAAAATCATACATTCATTTTACTGGAGGATCATAGAAGTTAAAGACTTAAAACAAACTTTGACAATAAAGAGAAGATGCCAAGTTTCAAATGCCTGGTTGGAATGGATCAAATATTCCATCCACACATTAAACAAAAGGAGCTGTTATGCTTGTGCGCACAGCAGGCTAGAGGCCTAGATTGTCCCCTTTCCACTAGGGTGGTCCTCCAGTTGACCAGGCGTGGGCTGCGTGGTAGCTCTTTTCCAGGATTCTACAGCCTGGAGTAACAAGTCATGCCAAGCTCTCTCTCTGCTATATCCCGAAGTCCAGCATCCTGTGGGTCAGCCCCCAAGGGCCATCCAGCTTCCGTCTCCCAACACTAAGTTCACTTCATGTCTCTCATGACAGGGAGGAAACTTAGAGTTCCTTGGAGACCTGAGGTCACGCAGTGAGCTTAAGAATTTTCTAGAGCTTATCAATCAGTCAGCCCCTGTTCATCCCCGAGTGGATGTGTGGTGGTATTGTGGTGGACCTTTACTGGACACTCTGCTGAATAACTGGAGTGGCACTTATACTTTAGTCCAATTGGCTATCTCTTTTACCCTGGCATTTCATCAACCAGAGGGAGGAAAAATAAGACATCATAAAGCGAGAGAAGCCCCTTATGGATCTTTTGACTCTCACGTCCACTTAGACACAATTGGAGTCCCATGGAGAATACCAGATCAATTTAAAGCTTGAAATCAAATAGCAGCAGGATTTTAGTCAATATTTTGGTGGGTGACAGTTAATAAAAATATAGACTGGATAATACATCTATTACAACCAACAGCAACAAGCTTTTCATGAGTTAAAAGAAAAACTCATGTTGGCCCCAGCCCTGGGGCTACCCGACCTGACAAAACCCTTTACACCCTATGTGTCAGAAAGAAAGAAAATGACAGTTGGAGTTTTAACCCAGACTGTGAGGCCCTGGCCAAGGCCAGTGGCCTATCTCTCAAAACAACTAGATGGGGTTTCCAAAGCCTGGCCCCCATGTCTAAGGGCCCTGGCAGCAAAGGCCCTGTTAGCACAAGAAGCAGATAAACTAACCCTTGGGCAAGACCTGAATATAAAGGCCTCCTATGCTGTGGTAATTTCAATGATTACCAAAGGACATCATTGGTTAACAAATGCTAGATTAACCAAGTACCAAAGCTTGCTATGTGAAAATCCCTGCATAACCATTGAAGTTTGCAACACCCTAAACCCTGCCACCTTGCTGCTGGTATCAGAGAGTCCAGTTGAACATAACTGTGTAGAGGTGTTGGACTCAGTTTATTCTAGCAGGCCCAACCTCCGAGACCATCGTTGAACTCAGTAGACTGTGAGCAGTACATGGACGGGAGCAGCTTCGCCAACCTCTGCAAAGTGACTCTGAAGAAGACAACAAGCCCTGCTCCAGTCACACCCAGAAGCTGATTGGTCCACGCATGGCCAAAGCATGAGAAAACTCATCACGGGACTCATTTTCCTTAAAATTTGAACTTTTTCAGTAAGGACTTCAACTGACCTTCTTCAGACTGAGGACTATTCCCAGTGTATACATCAAGTCACTGAGGTGGGACAAAAAGTTGCTATAGTCCTATTATTTTATGGTTATTATAAGTGTACTGGAACTCTAAAAAAAACTTGTTTGTATAATTTTATTCTATACAAGGTATGTAGCCCAGGAAATGACCAACCTGATGTGTGTTATGGCCTATCTGAGCCTCCCATGACCACAGTTTTTAAAATAAGATTAAGGACTGAGGACTGCTGGGGGCTCATAAATGATACGTGTAAAGTGTTAGCCAAAACAGAAGAAAAAGGGGTGCCCAAACCAGTCATCTTGAAATTTGATGCCTGTGCTGTTATTAATAGTAATAAGTTAGAAATAGGATATGGTTTTCTTAATTAAAAAAGAGGCTATATGGCAGAAAATAAGTACATTTGTCATGAATTAGGACTGTGTGGAAATAAATGTGGATACTGGTCTTGTGTCATTTAGGCTACTTGGATAAAAAATGAAAAGAATCCTGTCCACCTTCAGAAAGGGAAAAGTGGCCCTTCCTGTACCAGTGCTCAGTGTAACCCCTTAGAACTAGTAATAACCAACCCCCTTGATCCTCTCTGGAAAAAAGGGGAGCATGTAACCCTAGGAATCGATGGGGCTGGACTGGATCCTCGAGTAAATATCATGGTTTGAGGAGAAGTTTATAAATGCTCTCCTGAGCCAGTATTTCAAATCTTCTATGATAAACTGAATGTGCCAGTACCAGAAATTCCAGGAAACAAGAAATTTGTTTTTGCAATTAGCTGAGCATGTAGCCCAGTCTCTCAATGTCACTTCATGTTATGTATGTAGAGGAACTGTAATGGGAGATCAATGGCCATGGGAAGCCCAAAAATTAGTACCTACAGACCCAGTTCCTGGTGAATTCCTGGCTCAAAAGAATCACCCTGATTCTTTTGAGAATCTGGGTCCTAAAAGCCTCCATCATTAGACAATACTGTATAGCAAGAGTGGGAAAGGATTTCACCCTTCCTGTGGGAAGACTCACATGCCTTGGGCAAAAAACTGTATAATAATATTACAAAAACAGCCACCTAGTGGAGTTCAAACCATACTAAAAAAAATCCATTTAGTAAATTCCCAAAGTTGCAAACCATGTGGACCCACCCAGAGTCCCACCAGGACTGGACAGCCCCCACTGGATTGTACTGGATATGTGGGCATAGACCTTATGCCAAATTGCCCAACCAGTGGGCAGGTAGTTGTGTTATTGGCACTATTAAACCATCTTTCTTGCTACTGCCCATAAAGACAGGCGAACCCCTGGGCTTCCCTGTATGTGATTCCCATGAAAAGAGAAGCATAGCTACAAAAAATAGGAAAGATAATAAATGGCCCCCTGAGAGAATCATACAATATTATGGGCCTGCTACTTGGGCACAAGATGGCTCGTGGGGATACCCGACCCCCATTTACATGCTCAACCGAATCATATGGTTACAAGCTGTGTTAGAAATAATCACTAATAAGACCAGCAGAGCCTTGACTATTCTGGCCTGGTAAGAAACTCAGATGAGAAATGCTATCTATCAAAATAGATTGGCTCTTGACTACTTGCCAGCAGCTGAAGGAGGAGGTCTGTAGAAAATTTAACCTTACTAATTGCTGTCTACACATAGATGATCAAGGGCAAGTAGTTGAAGACATAGTTAGAAATATGACAAAACTGGCACATGTGCCCGTGCAAGTGCGGCATGGATTTGATCCTGGGGCCATGTTTTGAAAATGGTTCCCAGTGCTAAAAAGATTTAAAACTCTTATAATAGGAGTTATAATAGTAATAGAAACCTGCTTACTGCTCCCTTGTTTGCTACCTGTACTTCTTCAAATGATAAAAAGCTTCCCTACCTTAGTTCACCAAAATGCTTCAGCACAAGTGTACTGTATGACTCACTATCGATCTGTCTTGCAAGAAGACTTGGGTAGTAAGAATGAAAGTGAGAGCTCCCACAATTGAGTGAGATTCTCAAAGGTGGGGAATAAGGGAGGTGACCACCCCTCATACTGTCTTATGCCCAATTTCTGCCTCCAAAGAAAGAAGAAATAAAAACTAAAAGGCAGAAATGAAATCCACTATGACAAACCCACAGCCAATATCATACTGAATGGGCAAAAACTGGAAGCATTCCCTTTGAAAACTGGCACAAGACAGGGATGCCCTCTCTCACTACTCCTATTCAACATAGTGTTGGAAGTTTTGGCCAGGGCAATCAGGCAGGAGAAGGAAATAAAGGGCATTCAATTAGGAAAAGAGGAAGTCAAATTGTCCCTGTTTGCAGATGACATGATTGTATATTTAGAAAACCCCATCATCTCAGCCCAAAATCTCCTTAAGCTGATTAGCAACTTCAGCAAAGTCTCAGGATACAAAATCGATGTACAAAAATCACAAGCATTCTTATACATCAATAACAGACAAACAGAGAGCCAAATCATGAGTGAACTCCCATTCACAATTGCTACAAAGAGAATAAAATACCTAGGAATCCAACTTACAAGGGATGTGAAGGACCTCTTCAAGGAGAACTACAAACCACTGCTCAAGGAAATAAAAGAGGACACAAACAAATGGAAGAACATTCCATGCTCATGGGTAGGAAGAATCAATATCGTGAAAATGGCCATACTGCCCAAGGTAATTTATAGATTTAATGCCATCCCCATCAAGCTACCAATGACTTTCTTCACAGAATTGGAAAAAACTACTTTAAAGTTCATATGGAACCAAAAAAGAGCCCACATTGCCAAGTCAATCCTAAGCCAATAGAACAAAGCCAGAGGCATCATGCTACCTGACTTCAGACTATACTACAAGGCTACAGTAACCAAAACAGCATGATACTGGTACCAAAACAGAGATATAGACTAATGGAACAGAACAGAGCCCTCAGAAATAATGCCACATATCTACAACTATCTGATCTTTGACAAACCTGACAAAAACAAGCAATGGGGAAAGGATTCCCTATTTAATAAATGGTGCTGGGAAAACTGGCTAGCCATATGGAGAAAGCTGAAACTGGATCCCTTCCTTACACCTTATACAAAAATTAATTCAAGATGGATTAAAGACTTACATGTTAGACCTAAAACCATAAAAACCCTAGAAGAAAACCTAGGCAATACCATTCAGGACATAGGCATGGGCAAGGACTTCATGTCTCAAACACCAAAAGCAATGGCAACAAAAGCCAAAATTGACAAATGGGATCTAATTAAACTAAAGAGCTTCTGCACAGCAAAAGAAACTACCAACAGAGTAAACAGGCAACCTACAGAATGGGAGTAAATTTTTGCAACCTACTCATCTGACAAAGGGCTAATATCCAGAATCTACAATGAACTCAAACAAATTCACATGAAAAAAACAAACAGCCCCATCAAAAAGTGGGCAAAGGATATGAACAGACACTTCTCAAAAGAAATCATTTATGCAGCCAAAAAACACATAAAAAATGCTCATCATCACTGGCCATCAGAGAAATGCAAATCAAAACCACAATGAGATACCATCTCACACCAGTTAGAATGGCGATCATTAAAAAGTCAGGAAACAACAGGTGCTGGAGAGGATGTGGAGAAATAGGAACACTTTTACACTGTTGGTGGGACTGTAAACTAGTTCAACCATTGTGGAAGTCAGTGTGGCAATTCCTCAAGGATCTAGAACTAGAAATGCCATTTGACCCAGCCATCACATTACTGGGTATATACCCAAAGGATTATAGATCATGCTGCTATAAAGACACATGCACACATATGTTTATTGCAGCACTATTCATAATAGCAAAGTCTTGGAACCAACCCAAATGTCCAACAATGATAGACCAGATTAAGAAAATGTGGCACATATACACCATGGAATACTATGCAGCCATAAAAAATGATGAGTTCATGTCCTTTGTAGGGACATGGATGAAGCTGGAAACGATCATTCTCAGCAAACTATCGCAAGGACAACAAACCAAACACCGCATGTTCTTACTCATAGTTGGGAATTGAAAAATGAGAACACATGGACACAGGAAGGGGAACATCACACACCGGGGCCTGTTGTGGGGTGGGGTGGGAGGCATAGCATTAGGAGATATACCTAATGCTAAATGACGAGTTAATGGGTGCAGCACACCAACATGGCCCATGTATACATATATAACAAACCTGCACATTGTGCACATGTACCCTAAAACTTAAAGTATAATAATAATAAAATTAAATAATAATAATAATAACAAAAAAAAGAAATCCACAGGCAGACAGCCGGGCACCACACCCTGGGCCTGGTTAAAGATCCACCACTGTCCTAATTGGTTATGTTATCTATAGATTACAGACATTGTATAGAAAAGCACTGTGAAAATCCCTGTCCTGTTCTGTTCCATTCTAATTACTGGTGCATGCAGCCCCCAGTCACGTACCCCTGCTTGCTCAATCAATCACAACCCTCTCACGTGGACCCAGTTAGAATTGTGAGCCCTTAAAAGGGACAGGAATTGCTTACTCAGGGAGCTCGGTTGTTGGAGACATGAGTCTTGCCGAAGTTCCCGGCCAAATAAAGCCCTTCCTTCTTTAACTCTGTGTCTGAGGGGTTTTATCTGCAGCTTGTCCTGCTACAATTAGAGCTCTTTCATGTATTTTGGTAGTGAAATATCACATCCACAGGACACATGTAAAGATAGAGCTGTAAAAGGCATGTAGAATAAAAGCCATGTTCAAAAGATACTTTGCCTGTTTTCAAAAAAATGTTTCTCCCTTACTTTAGATAATTAGTAAAACTTATAGAAGCCAACAAAATTGAAGGAGAGAGCCATCATTCAAGGCCTTTTTAAAAGAGAAAGAGTGGCACTTTTAAGATATCAATCTGGACCAGGTGCGGTGGCTCTTGCTTGTAATCCCAGTAGTTTGGGAGGCCGAGACGGCCAGATCACCTGAGGTCAGGAGTTTGAGACCTGCCTGGCCAACTGGTGAAACCCCATCTCTACTAAAAATACAAAAAATTAGTCAGCCATGATGGTGCGTGCCTGTAATCCCAGCTACTTGGGAGTCTGAGGCAGAAGGATTGCTTGAACCTGAGAGGCAGAGGTTACAGTGAGCTGAGATAGTGCCATTGCACTCCAGCCTGGGCAACAGAGCAAGACTCCGTCTCAAAAAAAAAAAAAAAAAAATCAATCTGAAGAATGTTGAAGAGATAGATTAGAGAAGTTAAAAATTTAAAAATGTCTTGCATTAAAAGTAAGTCAATATTTGTAATAAAATCTTGTTTTAACCAATTATTTAGTTCTGTATTGGTGCATATTTTAATATTAAAGACCCATCTCTAGAAAGATTATTGTAATTTCCCTTTAATTATATCCAACTGAGTTATATAATCCCTTTAAAAATTCACTTTTATTAACCTTATTACAACTTTCATAGACCACTTATAACATAGTTAAACTTTCTGCTTTACCCTAAACATTACTCTTTCTTGAACAACCCAGTCATTGATTTCAGGGCAGAAATTCACCACACATGATTCTTTCTTATATAAAATCACTTTCCTTTTTACTTTCTTTACCAAAAATACCTCTTTATATCTTTAACTTTCTTTACATCTCTTATTTCCTGATTCCTTTACCTTGTTTTATAAATACCCTTAAATAAGATTTGAATTAGACAAAGATATTTCACCTTTAATAAGAACATTAAAAAAATTTTTCCTATAATTCTGAAATTGGAAATTACCAAGATAGTTAATATCAAATAATAACCTTAAATCCTAAATTATGACAAGTCTGTTTACAAGCATTTATTTCATTTCATTTATCTGATTAATAGTTTACGTATATTATTTACAAAAACCATGATAGTCAAATATTCAAAGTTATTTTTCTATTAATCATTTTTATACCTGTGAATTTCAGGTATTTACCTAAGTAATAAAATGTATGGTTAATTTTAAAGCTATTTATACCGATAACTTAGGATTTAGCTGTTTTCACTAGGCCAAAAATATTTCATAAGCATACACAAGCAAAGATTATCCTGTCTTGGGCTGGGTCTTACAGTTATAACCCTTATGGCAAATTTTATAGTATTCTGCAGGAATAAACGTGAAACAATTTGATTGAAAAAAATGCTAACAAAATGCTTACAATGTTTAAGACATTGCTAGTACTATTTTACCAATAATTTTAAAACCACCTTATTTATTAAAAATTATACTTAAGTGATGGGAACCTGAAAAAGCATTTAGTCTTTTAATTATCTGATTTAAGTGTTCTTATATATTTTCAATCCAATTAACTAGAGCTCTTTATATATTTTTAGTAGTAAAACTTTGCATACACAACACATAAATACACAGACGTATTTAGGCATGCTGATAAAAGTACATTTTATAGATTCAAACAGACTTCCTTTTTCCTTTTTTATTTTTTTTTTTCTATTTTAGACTTTCAAATTCTTGATAACATGTTGCATCACCCTAGGGAGTTGTCAGCTAACTAGCCCTAAATTTGCATATTAAAGGAAACAACTCAATTTGTAAGGATCAGATAGTAAAATTTACATCATATGGGGAGAAAAGTTTGGTGTGTTAGGGAAATTAAAATGAATTTAACTGCTAATAAAACATAAAATTATAGAATTTATAAAGGCCTTTTAAATATACACACACAAAGATCTATAGCATTACTTTAGTACTTTAGCCATGAGATAAGTTTAAATTCACCAGCTTACAAACAAAACATGTTAGCTCCAAATGGTGGTTTTTATCTCGGTAGAAAAGTGACAGCAGATTTCAAGCAGGAAGAAAAGAAAATTGTTAAAGAGAACTTAGGAACTCTATAGTTTCCAAGTCGACTTTAGGGCTCTTTTTCCTCAATGTAAATATGCACAAAGACCATAATTACTTCAATTTTCCATAAACTCTGGCAATTAAATGTGCCATAAAACTTACAGAGTGCTTGAAAGGGGGTCATTCTCCTTGTTTTCTCTTTATTCTTGATTGTTTCTTTCCCACATTTTCTTTTCTTAAAAGGAGGAACTGAGCTGTGGCCTAAGGTTTCTGTGTGGTGGATTGATATGTTTCCTGTATTAGCTATTCTTAAAATTAATTTTTGCTGGGAATTTCCCTGCAGGGCTGCTGCACGTAATGGGGGTCAACTCCCCAGGCACTCCTATGAGGCACCCCCTGTCACCCAGGAGCACTTTTTGGCTGAGAGGAGCAAATGCCCTTTCTCTTCAGAGCTGAAAAAAAAAATACTCAGTCTCTTATTTATCTATGAAAATGACAGCTCAGTTCCTCACGAAAATGCACACAGACAATCCAAATTGAAATTAATTCTGAGAGGAAAAGCAATAGAGAAAACCCTTTAGAATGCATCTCTGAACTAGAATTAGGACCCTTAAACAACAACTTCCTAGGAAAAAAAACCAGCTCAGAATAAATCAAAGACCTTCAACCAAAACAGGAGGTCCAGGGCTCAGGAGAACTTACCATTTTCACTGGAGGAGAATCTCGAACTCAGTCAGGCTTCAATGGACCCCAGCTGGTACCATAGCTCTGGTTTCAGGCAATTCCTTCTGGGTCCTGAGTCTTCTCTGAAGCCCTACGTTTTTGGGGCACCAAATTATTGTCAAGAAAAAGAGTCAAACTCTGTAAATATTTGAAGAGATTTATTCTGAGCCAAATATGAGTGACCATGGCCCATGACACAGCCCTCAGGAGGTCCTGAGAACACATGCCCAAGGTGGTCAGGGTGTGGCTTGGTTTTATACATTTTAGAGAAGCATGAGACATCAATCAAATACATTTAAGAAATACATTGGTTTGATCCAGAAAGGTGGGACAACTCAAAGTGGGGGCTTCCAGGCTACATTTAAACATTTTCTGGTTGACAGTTGGTTGAGTTTGTCTAAAGACCTGGGATCAATAGAAAGGAAATGTTCAGGTTAAGATAAAACATTGTGGAGAACAAGGTTCTTTGGAAGTCTTATGGTGGCTGACCTTAGAGACAATAGATGACAAATGTTTTCTATTCAGATCTTTAAAAGGTGGTAGGCTCTTAGTTAATCTCTTAAAAAGAAAAAGATCTAGCTATGTTAATAGAGATTTTTTACAGATGCAAATTTTCTCCCACAAAGGACAGCTTTGTGGGGCCATTTCAAGATATGGCAAAGAAACATGTTTTGAGGTAAAATATTTTGACTTTCTTCTTTGTCACATAATGTCATTCCACAGTCAGACTGGAGAGTAAGTCATGATATATAAGGTTAAATAAAACCTATTTGTCACACGTGTCCATGTGAAGAGACCATCAAACAGGCTTTGTGTGAGCAATAAAGGTTTTTAGTCACCTGGGTGCAGGCGGGCTGACTCCGAAAAGAGAGTCAGCGAAGGGAGATGGGGTGGGGCCATTTTATAGGATTTGGGTAGGTAGTGGAAAATTACAGTCAAAGGGGGTTGTTCTCTGGTGGGCAGGGGTGGGAGTCACAAGGTGTTCAGTGGGGGAGCTTCTGAGCCAGGAGAAGGAATTTCACAAGGTAATGTCATCAATTAAGGCAGGAACTGGCCATTTTCACTTCTTTTGTGATTCTTCACTTGCTTGAGGCCATCTGGATGTATATGTGCAGGCCTGCGCTCAGAGGCCTGACACTATCTGATGAGAATTTATGGTTTGTAGGGCCTGACTCTCTAGACCCCTTAGATAGGAATTTGGGCAAAATAAAATTTAAAAAAGAAAATCAGAGCTTAGTCCTCAAAACCATTACTCTTTTTTTTTTTTCTTTTAAGTTCACCGGTATGAGTGCAGGTTTGTTACATATGTAAATTTTTGTCATGGGGGTTTCTTGTACAGATTATTTCATCACCCAGGCATTAAGCTAATACCCGTTAGTTATTTTTTCTGATCCTCTCCCTCCTCTTCTCCTCCATCCTCCAAAGGCCCCAGTGTGTGTCTTTCCCATATATGTGTCCATGTGTTCTCATCATTTAGCTCCCACTTATAAGTAAGAACACATGAATTTGGTTTTTTGTTTCTGTGTTAATTTGCTAAGGATAATGGCCTCCACCTCCATCCATGTCCCTGCAAAGGACCTGATCTCATTTTTTTTATGGCTGCATAGTATTTTATGGTGTGTATTTACCACAGTTTCTTTATGTAAAAAGTAAAGTAGAGGTTCCTCTTCAAAGACTTTCCTCCCCATCTAAGTAGGAATAAATAGTAACTTCTCTTAGAAGCAAAATTTATTCAAAGACATGTGCTAACATTCTTAAATAACTGCCAGCCTTAATAAAGAAATCAATGTACGTTATGTTCTTAGCTCCCAAAATTTAGCCTAAATATTTGCCCTGGCAAACACTTATACTTGTCCAAGCAAGCATTAGGTCATAGCCTGTTCCTCTTCCTTATGTGAATGTATTTTTACCTTTCTCAGCATTCCACAAGTTACTTCCACCTTACTTTGTTCTCCTCTTCCTTTTCCTCTTTTAAAAAGTTCTAAGTTGCTAGCCAGTTGGGACAAATACAAAATGTGAGGTCCTGTTCCATCCAATGGAAATCAGACACAGCAGTAGGGTGGATTCCTAAGGTTATAAATGACCCTGTCTCCTTTGTTCGGTGTACTCTCATGACAAAACTGCTGGCGAGTGTACCCTTTCTGCAGAAAGTAAAAAAAAAAAAAAAAAAAAAAAAAAAAAAAAGGCCTTGCTGAGGAAATTAAATTTATGTTCAAGTGCTATTTCTTTATGGCACCAGGGAACAAGCATTTCAAACATTTATGTAGTCTATCACTGATGGGCATTTAGGTTGATTCCATGTCTTCGCTATTGTGAATAGTGCTTCAATGAACATATGTGTGCATGTGTGCTTGGATAACTGGCTAGCTATACGCAGAAGATGAAACTAGACCCCTTCTTTACACATATACAAAAATTAACTCAAGATGGATTAAAGATTTAAATGTAAAACACAAAACTATAAAAATCCTGGAAGACAACCTAGGCACTACCATTCTGGACACAGGCATGGGCAAAGATTTCATAATAAGATGACAAAAGCAATGGCAGCAAAAGCAAAAATTGACAAATGGGATCTAATTAAACTAAAGAGCTTCTGAACAGCAAAAGAAACTAACAGGTTAAACAGACAACCTACAGTACGGGAGAAAATTTTTACAAACTATGCGTCTGACAAAGGTCTAATATCAGCATTTATAAGGAATGTAAACAAATTTATAAAAGAAAAACAAACAACCTTATAAAAAAGTGGGCAAAGGACATAAAGAGACACTTTTCTTTTTTCTTTTCTTTCTTTTTTTTTTTTTTGAGACAGAGTTTCCTCTTGTCTCCCAGGCTGGAGTGCAGTAGTGCGATCTTGGCTCGCTGCAACCTCCACCTCCCAGGTTCAAGTGATTCTTCCACCTCAGCTTCCAAAGTAGCTGGGATTACAGGCATCTGCCATCATTCTCGGCTAATTTTTGTACTTTTGTAGAGACCGGGTTTCACCATGTTGGCCAGGCTGGTCTCCAACTCCTGACATCAGGTGATCCGCCCACCTTGGCCTCCCAAAGTGCTGGGGTTATAGGCATGAGTCACCGTGCCCAGCCGAAGAGACTCTTTTTAAAAGAAAACATATACGTGGCCAATGAGCATGTGACAAAAGCTCAATATCACTGATCGTCAGAGAAATGCAAATCAAAATGAGACACCATCTCACACCAGTCAGAATGTCAGAATGGCTATTTTTAAAAAGTCAAAAAACAGATACGGGTAAGGTTGTGGAGAAAAAGAAATGTTTATGCACCATTGGTGGTAGTATAAATTAGTTCAGCCATTGTGGGAGGCAGTGTGGTGATTCCTCAAAGACATAAAGACAGAAATACCATTCAATCCAGCAATCCCATTACTGGATATAAACCCAAAGGAGTATAAATCATTCTATTACTCTATTGTTAATTAAAAATTTCTCACCAAATAAAATTGTTTATGCAACTCTGTTGCATTTGTTATCAAGGTTACATTCGTTTTAATTTTAAGGTATCTCTAATGATAGCTAGAAGCCATATGTTATAGAGGTGAATATTGTGGGTTTAAGAGCACCAGTGCTTACTAGCTGTGTGAACTCAAGCATATTATTTAACATCTTGGAACCTTAGTTTTCTCATTGTTTATTAGGAATAATAATAGTTTATACCTCTTATGGTTGACAAGAGTATTCAGTGAGAAAGTCAATGATTATTGGCTGTTATTATTAACTGTTGCACTTTTTCTCCTTGGTACTTTTTTCAGTTGGGTTAGGCAAATGTTACAATTAGGATATGGTTTTTTCTTTGGAGATGCAGCTGCTAATGCAGGTATGGACTTCAAACTTCCAAAGATTTGTGCAGTTTTAAAAACCCAAAAACACGATTTAAATATAAGCTCATCATTAACACATGTTTCCATTGATGGTATCATTTAAACAGCACCAGAAGCTTTACTATAATGCATCTGATAAATACAAGATAATTACTTTTCAAATATACATTTCAGAATTCTTGAATTACATCAAAAGTGTTTAATTGGATTGAAACAGATATAGAAGTAAACTATTTTTATGTAATCTTTTGGAGAGATTGTTGATTTGTTACATGAGGAAGTATGTACTTTACAGATGCAGTACCCTTTTGTATGCTTATCACTTTGCTTCTTGACTCTCTCACCAGGTAACTCAAAACACAGACAATTTTCTGGCCTATTGATTAGAGACTACACAATCCTCAATATAGTAGATCGTATATCTATCTGCCCTTTTGTAATTCTGCATACAATAAATGTATTCTGTCTAGGTAGCAAATTCCTGAAGGGTAAAAGTCAGGATTAGCTTAGCCTAATTTAATCCCTAGAATTACTCAGTACCTTTAAAAAGCAACAAATATCAGTTGATCACTTCCAGTGATGGAACTATCATTTACAAAGTGATTTTGAAGCCAAGTAAACAAAAGTTTACTTGTCAAGAACATTCTCACGGATTCATTATTATTACCAATCATTTAAAAATCTTGCACATAAGCTGATCTAGAAAGTAAAAAAAAGACAATAAAGAATTTAAAAGCTTATGCAGAAATATTACATATAAATTTTTACTAATTTGCAAATTCATCAAAAAGCAAGCACACTTATAATTACCAAACTCCGATATTTACTTGTAAAATGTCGCAGTACAACAGCGAGCATACTTATAATTACCAAACTCCAACATTTACTTATAAAATGTCACAGTACAACTTTATTGCAGAGTTGGAGTATGTTACTGGGTATGAATAAATAAATTAATAAACAAAATTACTTAAAAGGAGCTATTCCCGGTAGCTAATTATTTACTGAAATATTCCTTAAACACACAGAGGCATACACATATGCAATATGAAGAGTGGGAAAGTGTAGTCTGTGAATACTACACTAGCCATTATTTCCTTAGTTGAGCTCAATTTCAATGATCTTAAAATTGGTAATTGATTAAATTTCTTTGACAGCAATATCTATATATGTTTGTTTAGTGAAATCCTAGATGCAGCAGTAGCACTAGCCACATAACCAAAATTTCCAGACTAGTGGAAAATGTGGCTACTGTCATCACTGTTATGTGTTAGAAGGGAAGAAAGGGCTAAAAAAGGTTTCCCTTGTTTCTCTCATTTTCCCTTTGTTGAAGCTTTGGAATACATTTCAGGCTATCACGAAGTTTTCCAACCTACAAGTTAACCTTGGGTAGACTCTTCAAACATAGATCCCTATATTTTCTTACAGAATACAGATGTATAGATGCAATGATTTATGCAATGTCTTTTGACCCTGAAGAGACAGTTTCCTGCAATTTGGTGTAACAACTGCTATGAAATGACTATTATAAATACTGTCATAATTTCAACATTGGTCAGCAGCAGCCAAATGTATGATACAAAACTCAAATTTTCCATTGTTTAAAAGTGTATTCATGTCACAATGCAGTTTCTGTATGAAAACTCTTAGTGTAAAATATGGATACCATTTTCAGATGACAGAATAGTAGAATCCATAAAGAAAAGCAACAGAAGGAGGAGGATAGTAATTTTCCTTCCTTTCCATTTGCTGCTCTGCTGAAGAAGTGATCAAGACTGGTATGACAGGTAGACATTTAACACATGCAGATTTTTCCTTCTTTGAACATTGACAGGGTGATATCAACATAAATTGGACTGAAAAAATGTAATTTCAAGAAATGAAATTATTATTTATATACTTTAATTTGTAAAATCATCTCAGGAACTTATTTACAGCTTCAGGGAGGTTTTTAAAGTTCCCTCTATATTTTTAAAGGGCATAAAATATAGATTTTTTAAAAAAGCTATAGTAAAATTCAAAACATCTGCTAAGTATTGCTAGCACTTAATCTTAAAGACTACTGTTTTTAATATTTTTTCTCTAGTTTTTATTATATTAACCTTATATAACCAGAACCAAAGAAAGCATTACTAAAGCAACAGCATCGCATTGAAAACTTCGGGCTAATATTTACCCATTACTTGCTGTTTTATCAAGTGGAAGATGAGTTTAGATCCTCACAAAACCATCTTCCAACTTTTTTGTTAGACATTTTTAGGAGACAAAGTGTGCTATTCAGTAGTACCCTATTTTTATTTTTTTATTTTTGGAATGACAATGTGAGGAGGAGGTCCTTGTCTATTTGATTAGAATAGACTTTGCCACAGAATGTTCCCATAAAATGTTCATAAGTGGTCTTATAAAAATTGCTATATTAAACTACATTTAAAAAAAGTAAGTTAAATACAATTTTTAAAGACTTATCAGGAATGTAAAATGGTACAACTGCTTTGGGAAATTGTCTGGCAATTCCTCAAATGGTTAATTATAGACTTACAATAGGACCCAGTAGTTCCATTCTGAGGCACATACCCAAGAGAAATGTAAACATATATTCACATGAATCAACCTAAATACTCATCAACAGTAGACTGGATAAAGAAAATTTGGTACTTATACACCATGGAATACTACACAGCCATAAAAAATAACAAGGTCATGTGCTTTGCAGGAACATGGTTGGAGCTAAGGGACATTATCCTAAGCAAACTAAAACAAGAACAGGAAATCATATACCACATATTCTCACTTACACATGGGAGCTAAGCATTGGAAACACATGGACACAAGAAGGGCAACAAAAGACACTAGGACCTACTTGAGGGTGGAGAATGGGAGGAGGGAGAGGATTAAAAAACTGCTATTGAGCACTATGCTTATTACCTGGGTAAGGAAATAATTTGTACACCTAACCCCTATGACACACAGTTTACATAAAACAAACCTGCACATGTACCCTTGAACCTAAAATAAAAATTTTAAAAAAGAAAACATATGTCCATACAAAGACTTAGACATGAATGTTCAGAGTGACACTATTGCTAAGAGCAAAAACGTGGAAACAACCTAAATGTCCTCAACCAATGAATAGATAAGCAAAATGTGACATACGCATACACTGGAATATTATTTGATCATAAGGAGGAATGAAGTAGCAATACAAGCTATAATATGGATGAATCTTTAAAACATTATGCCAAGTGAAAGAAACTAGGTAATGTATTGTACAATTTTATTTACATGAAGTGTCCAGAACAGGCAAATCCATTGAGACAGAAATTAGATTAGTGTTTGCCAGATAAGCCAATTAATGACAGTTCTGTGGGAATGAGTCTTTGAAGGACCTCCAACCCTGTTCTGCCTCCTCTGATGTCTGTCAGGTCCCTGGTCATCCCGGTGATTGCAGGATGTTGGTTTTCAAGGCTACTGTGGAAGTTCATAGGGGGATAATGGAAATAGGGCATATTAAATTGCAACAAAGCTCACTGTTCTCTCCAATATTCAGTTGATTTTCTTGAATAAGTGGCCACAAATTGCAGCAAGCATGTGGTTAATTGCTAGAGTTTTTGTTTGTTTGTTTTTTGTTTTGTTTTGTTTTTGGAGATAGAGTCCCACTCTGTCACCCTGGCTGGAGTGCAGTGGTGCAATCTCAGCTTACTGCAATCTCCGCCTCTCAAGTTCAAGCGATTCTCCTGCCTCAACCTCCCAAGTGGCTGGGATTACAGGCGACCACCACCACACCCAACAAATTTTTTGTATTTTTAGTAGAGATGGGGTTTCATTATATTGGCCAGGCTGGTCTCAAACTCCTGACCTCAGGCAATCCACCTGCCTCGGCCTCCTAAAGTGCTGGGATTACAGGCGTGAACCACCACGCCCGGCCTACAGTTTTTAAAATGGTTGATTCTGACACTTACTGCTAGTTTTCTCGTTGCTTTTATGGAGGAAATAATTTTTTTTTCTTCATTTCTTCTAACAAACAAAAAACGGGATACATGTGCAAAACGTTCAGGTTTGTTACATAGGTATACGTGTGCAATGGTGGTTTGCTGCACCTGTTGACCCATCTGCTAATTTCCCTCCCCTCACCCCTACCCCTCAACAGGCCCTGGTGTGTGTTTTTCCCCTCTCTGTGTCCATGGGTTCTCATTGTTCAACTCCCACTTATGAGTGAGAACATGCAGTATTTCGTTTTCTGTTCCTGTGTTAGTTTGCTGAGGATGATGGCTTCCAGCTTCAACCATGTCCTTGCAAAGGACATGATCTCATTCCTTTTTATGGCTGCATGGTATTCCATGGTGTATATGTACCACTTTCTTTATCCACTATGTCATTGATGGGAATTTGGGTTGGTTCCATGTCTTTGCTATTGTAAATAGTGCTGCAATAAACATACATGTGCATGTGTCTTTATATTAGAATGATTTATATTCCTTTCGGTATATACCCAGTAATGGGGTTGCTGGGTCAAATGGTATTTCTGGTTCTATATCCTTGAGGAATCACCATACTGTCTTTCACAATGGTTGAACTAATTACATTCGCACCAACAGTGTGAAAGCATTCCTATTTCTCCACAGCCTTGCCAGCAACTATTGTAACCTGACTTTTTAATAATCACCTTTCTGACTGGCATGAGATGGTATCTCATTGTGGTTTTGATTTGTGTTTCTCTGATGATCAGTGATGTTGAGCTTTTTTTCATATGTTTCTTGGCCACATAAATGTCTTCTTTTGAGAAGTGTCTGGTCATATCCTTTGCCCACTTTTAAATGGGGTTGTTTGTCTTTTTCTTGTAAATGTGTTTAAGTTCCTTGTAAATTCTGGATATTAGACGTTTGTCAGGTGGGTAGATTGCAAAAATTTTCTCCCATTCTGTAGGTTGCCTGTTCACTCTGATGATAGTTTTTTGTTTGTTTGTTTGTTTGTTTCTGTGCAGAAGCTCTTTAGTTTAATTTGGATCCCATTTGTCAATTTTGGTTTTTGTTGCAATTGCTTTTGGCATTTTCATCATGAAGTCTTTGCCATGCCTATATCCTGAATGGTATTGCCTAGGTTTTCTTCTAGGGTTTTTATGGTTTTGGTTTTACATTTAGGTCTTTAATCCATCTTGAGTTAATTTTTGTATAAGGTGTAAGGAAGGGGTCCAGTTTCAGTTGTCTGCAAATGGCTAGCCAGTTTTTCCAACACCATTTACTGAGTAGGAGATCCTTTCCCCATTCCTTGTTTTCGTTAGATTTGTCAAAGATCAGATGGTTGTAGATGTGTCATCCTATTTCTGAGGTCTCTGCTCTGCTCCATTGGTCTATATGTCTGTTTTAGTAGCAGCATCATGATGTTTTGGTTACTGTAGTCTTGTAGTATTTTTTGAAGTCAGGTAGCGTGATGCCTCCAGTTTTGTTGTTTTTGCTTAGGATTATCTTGGCTATACGGGGTCTTCTTTGATTCCATATGAAATTTAAAATAGTTTTTTTCTATTTCTGTGAAGAATGTCAATGGTAGTTTGATGGGAATAGCATTGAATCTATAAATTACTTTGGGCAGTATGGCCATTTTCACGATATTAATTCTTTCTATCCATGAGGATGGAATGTTTTTTCCATTTGTTTGTTTCCTCTCTGATTTCTTTGAGGAGTGGTTTGTAGTTCTCCTTGAAGAGGTCTCTCACATTCCTTGTTAGCTGTATTCCTAGGTATTTTATTCTCTTTGTAGCAGTTGTGAACGGGTGTTCCTTCATGATTTGACTCTTTGCTTGCCTATTGTTGCTGTAAAAAAATGCTTGTGATTTTTGCACATTGGTTTTGTATCCTGAGACTTTGCTGAAGTTGCTCATCAGTTCAAGGAGTTTTGGGACTGAGATGATGGGGTTTTCTAAATATAAGATCATGTCTCTGCAAACAGACAACTTAACTTCCTCTCTTCCTATTGGAATACCCTTTATTTCTTTCTCTTGCCTCATTGCCCTGGCCAGAACTTCCAATACTATGTTGAATAAGAGTGATGAGAGAGGGCATCCTTGTCTTGTACCAGTTTTCAAAGGGAATGCTTCCAGCTTTTGCCCATTCAGTATGATATTGGCTGTGGATTTGTCATAAATAGCTCTTACTATTTTGAGATACCTTCCATCAATACCTAGTTAATTGAGAGTTTTTAACATGAAGAGATGTTGAATTTTATTGAAGGCCTTTTCTGCATCTATTGAGGTAATCAGGTGGTTTTTTTCTTTGGTTCTGTTTATGTGATGGATTACGTTTATTGATTTGCATATGTTGAACCAGCCTTGCATCCCAGGGATGAAGCCCACTTGATCATGGTGGATAAGCTTTTTGATGTGCTGCTGGATTCAGTTTGCCAGTATTTTATTGAGGATTTTTGCATCAATGTTCATCAGGGATATTGGCCTGAAGTTTTCTTTTTCTGTTGTATCTGTGCCAGGTTTTGGTGTCAGCATGACGCTAGCTTCATAAAATGAGTTAGGGAGGAGTCCCTCCTTTTCAATTATTTGGAATAGTTTCAGAGGAAATGGTACCAGCTTTTCTTTGTATTTCTAGTAGAATTCGACTGTGAATTTGTCTGTCCTGGGCTTTTTTGGTTGGTAGGCTATTAACTACTACCTCAATTTCAGAGCTTGTTATTGGTCTATTCAGGGATTCTTCTTCCTGGTGTACTCTTAGTAGGGTGTATGCATCCAGGAATTCATCCATGTCTTCTAGATTTTCTAGTTTGTTTGCATAGAGGTGTTTATAGTATTCTCTGATGGTAATTTGTATTTCTTCGGGGTCGGTGGTGATATCTCCTTTATCACTTTTTATTGCATCTATTTTATTTTTCTCTCTCTTCTTCTTTATTAGTCTAGCTAGTGGTCTATCTATTTTGTTAAGTTTTTCCAAAAAAAACAGCTCTTGGATTTGTTGATTTTTTGGAGGGTTTTTCATGTCTCTATCTCCTTCAGTTCTTCTCTGATCTTAGTTATTTATTTTCTTCTGCTAGCTTTTGGATTAGTTTTCTCTCGCCCCACTAGCTCTTTTAATTGTGATGTTAGGGTGTTAATTTGAGATCATTCTAGCTATCTGATGTGGACATTTAGTGCTATAAATTTCCCTCTTAACACTGCTTTAGCCATGTCCCAGAGATTCTGGTATGTTGTCTCTTTGTTCTCATTGTTTTCAAAGAACTTCTTTATTTCTGCCTTAATTTCCTTATTTACCCATGAGTCATTAAGGAGCAGATTGTTCAACTTCATAAAATTGTGTGGTTTTAAGTTAGTTTCTTAATTCTGAGTTCTAATGTGATTGCACAGTGGTCTGAGAGACTGTTATGATTCAGTTCTTTTGCATTTGCTGAAGAGTGTTTTACTTCCAATTATATGGTCTATTTTAGAATAAGTGCCATGTGGCACTGAGAAGAATGTATCTTCTGTTGATTTGAGATCGAGAGTTCCTTTTTTTTTTTTTTTTGAGATGGAGTCTCACTCTGTCGCCCAGGCTGGTGTTGATCTCGGCTCACTGCAACCTCTGCCTCCCAGGTTAGAGAAATTCTCCTGCCTCAGCCTCCATAGTAGCTGGGATTACAGGCATGCACCCACATGCCCAGCTACTTTTTGTATTTTTAGTAGAGACAGGGTTTCACAATGTTGGTCAGACTGGTCTTGAACTCCTGACCTTGTGATCTGCCTGCCTCAGCCTCCCAAAGTGCTGGGATTACAGGCATGAGCCACTGTGCCTCGCTGGTAGAGAGTTCTTTAGACATCTCCTAGGCCACTTGCTCCAGAGCTGAGTTCAAGTCCTGAATATCCTTGTTAATTTTCTGTTTGTTGATCTGTCTAATACTGACAGTGGGGTGTTAAAGTCTCCCACTATTATTGTGTGGGAGTCTAAGTGTCTTTGTAAGTCTCTAAGAACTTGTTTTATGAATCTGGGTACTCCTAAATTGGGTTCATGTATATTCAAAGTAGTTAGCTCTTCTTGTTGAATTGTTTCTTTTATCATTATGTAATGCCCTTCTTTGTCTTTTGTTGGTTTAAACTCTGTTTTATCAGAGACTAGGATTGCAACCCCTGCTTTTTTTCACTTTCCATTTGCTTGGCACATTTTTCTCCATCCCTTTATTTTGAGTCTGTGTGTGTCTTTGCAGGTAAGATGGGTCTCCTGAATACAGCACACCAATGGTTCTTGACTCCTTATCCAATTTGCTAGTCTCTGTCTTTTAATTGGGGCATTTAACCCATTTACATTTAATGTTAGTATTGTTATGTGTGAATTTGATCCTGTTATCATGACACTATTTGGTTATCTTGCACACTTGTTTATGCAGTTTCTTTGTAGTGTCATTGGTCTTTATATTTTGGTGTGTTTTTGCAGCAGCTGGTACTAGTTTTTCCTTTCTATACTTAGTGCTTCTTTCAGGAGCCCTTGCAGGGCAGGCCTGCTGGTAAGTGAAATCCCTTAGCATTTGCTTGTCTGGAAAGGATTTTATTTCTCCTTCACTTATGAAGCTTAGTTTGGCTGGATATGAAATTCTGGATTGAAAATTCTTTTCTTTAAGAATGTTGAGTATTTGCCCCCAGTCTCTTCTGGCTTGTAGAGTTTCTGCTGAGAGGTCTGCTGTCAGTGTGATATGCTTCCCTTTGTAGTTTACCTGGCCTTTCTCTCTGGCTGCCCTTAACAGTTTTTCCTTCATTGCAACCTTGGAGAATCTGAGGATTATGTGTCTTGAGGTTGATCTTCTCGTGGAGTATCTTAATGGTGTTCTCTGCATTTCCTGAATTTGCATGTTGCCCTGTCTTGCTAGGTTGGGGAAGTTCTCCTGGATAATATCCTGAATTGTGTTTTCCAGCTTGTTTCCATTCTCCTCATCTCTTTCTGGTACTTCAATCAATCATAGGTTCTGTCTTTTTATGAAGTCCCATATTTCTAGGAGGCTTTGTTCATTCCTTTTTATTCTTTTTTCTCTATTCTTGTCTGCATGTCTTATTTCAGTAAGGTGGTCTTCAAACTCTGATATCCTTTCTTCTGCTTTGTCAATTCAGCTGTTGAACTTCATGAAGTTCTTGTTCTGTGCTTTTCAGCTCCATCAGGTTGTTTATGTTCCTCTCTAAACTGGATATTCTAGTTAGCAATTCCTCTAACATTTCTTCAAGGTTCTTAGCTTCTTTGCATTGGGTTAGAAAATGCTCCTTTAGCTCACTGTAGTTTTTTATTACCCATCTTCTGAAGCCTACTTCTGTCAATTCATCCATCTGATCCTCTGTCCAGTTCTGCGCCCTTGATGGAGAGATGTTGTGATCATTTGGAGGACAAGAGGCACTCTGGCCTTTTGGGTTTTCATCATTTTTTCATTGATTCTTTCTCATCTTCGTGAGTTTGTTTAGTTTCGGTCTTTGAGTATGATGACCCTTGGATGGGGTTTTTGTGGGGGCTTTTTCATTGTTGTTGTTGTTTGTGCTGTTGTTGCTTTCCTCTTGATTTTCTTTCAATAATTTGGTCCCTCTTCTGTAGGGCTGCTGCAGTTTGCTGGGGGTTCACTTCAGGCCCTATTCATCTGATTCGCTCCTGTGCCTGGAGATGTTATTCAAGGAGGCTGGAGAGCAGCAAAGCTGGGCGCCTGCTCCTTTTTCTGGGACCCCTGACCTCAAGGGGCACCAACCCGTTGCCAGCAGGATTGTTTCTTTATACGGTGTCTGACAACCCCTGTCAGAGGGTCTCACCCAGTTGGGTGGCATGGGGAGCAAGACCCGTTTAATGAAGCACTTTGTCCCTTGGTAGAGAGGGTGTGTTTCACTGGGCGTGGGGGGGAACCCACTGGTCTAGGCTGCCTGGATTCCTCAGAACTACCAGGAGGAGAGGCTAAGTCTGCTGGTCTGCAGAGACTATGGCCACCCTTCCCCATAGGGGCTCAGACCCAGGGAGATCTGAATTCTCTCCCTGAGCCTCTGGCTAGAGTTATTGGAGATCCTGCAGGGAAGCCCTGCCCACTGAGGAAGGATGGGTTGGGGTTAAGCCTGAAGAGGCACTCTGGCTGCAGACTGCCACAGCTGGTGTGTTGGGCTGTGTGGACAAGTCTTGGGACCAAGCCGTCCAGCCTCCCTGGCTCCAGCAGGGAAAAAGCATGGCTTGGAGCTATAGAAATTGGTGCCACCCTTCCCCTGCCCAGGGAGCTTAGCATGTTAGGTAATTGAGAGTCCCAATGCTGGCTGTTGACCCTCCCCCAAGGAGCTCAAGTGGCTTAGACAGCAGGCTGCTTCAGCAGGTGCTGGTCACCCCTCCTGCCAGGAGTTTGGTAGGCTTAGGCAGATTCCTGCTGGGAGGCTGTAAGCATCTGTGTGTTCTGGGGTTGGGATGCTAGGCCCTGGTGATGTGGGTTCATGAGTGGGATCTTCCGATCCATGGGTTGCACAGTTCTGTGGAAAAAGCACAGTTTCCTTGGCTGGGTAGTGCACTCACTCACCACCTCCCTTGGCTGGGAAGTAGGGGTTCCCCTTCCCCATGTGGCTCTCAGTTGGGCCCCACACCACACTGCTCTTCCTTCTCCCCGTGGGTCATACCAGCCTTGTAGTCAATTTTGATGAGAGAACCTGGATACCTTGGTTGCCCATGAAGGATTCACACGCTTATTATGGGTTTTTTTTTGGTGGGAGCCTCCAAACGCAGCTGCTTCTAGTTGGCCACCTTGGCCCCCTTCCATCAGGAAATAATTTTCATGGATCCTTACTGTGCTATTTTTGCTGGTGTCCTTGGACTTCTTTTTGGGGTGATGAAAATCTTCTGGAGTTAGATAGTAGTGATGGTTGTCAAACTCTGTAAATATGCTTAAAAATACTGAAGTACACATTTTAAAAGGATGACTATGGTATGTGAATGTTTTAATAAGTTTTATTATTTGTATTTGCTATTTATATATTATTATATATGTTAAGGCTAACAGACCAGGAGATGACTGCTATTGAGAAAAGTTTGTTGTTCACAGATCCAAATAGGAATGGGCATGCCATGTTACTGGAGGATAGAGTGTGGTACATGGAAAGCACCAAGGTCTTCGGATCTTCGTATGAGGCAGGGCAAACAAGTTTTGGATTGGTTAGTCAGAATAATTTCAATGGGCTCTAGGGTTTAGGGGCTGTACCTAGTTGTCTGGTACCTGGTCCTATGGTGATTATGGCAGGCAGACAGTGGTCTGAAGTGTCAGAGCCCAATAAAGGAAGTGGTTCGGATATTGGCTGTCGATTGGTTGATTTGCATTTGGAAGGTGCACTCACAGGCAAATTGTTTGCTATCTCTAGGAATTGTCTAACCCTAGGAGGGGTAGTGCCTCGAAGATTAGCAAGGTCCGAGATGTCAAAATATTAGAATACAGAAAATAAAAGACATGGTTAATATAGTTAATTGTATAGTTAATAATAGCTAATAATATAGTTAATTATATAGCAATAAATAAGACTTCTCAGAGCCTTTAATAGTATCCTATACTATGAAGCTCTAAGTAATAATTATATGTTATTTTCTCAATTATTGGCCATGGAATCATGTGTGTGAGGAGCGGGTGGAGCCTTTCATGAGACTAAGATCCTAGGAAATACACTTTGAGAAACACTAGACTAGAATATTCTGTCCCTTGAAGAAAGAAAGTAATTCTTTTGGGGATTCTTTACATTTATCAATGATTTGGAGGAATCTGAATATGTCTATAGTGTCTATTATAGTGCTATCCTAGACCTACAGATCTAAGATAGAATGTGTCAAACAGAAGGCAAGGGAATTAAGTGTGTTGATGTAATGTGATGAACAGTATCTCTGAACTTAAATTTTCTTTCAGATTGTTTCTGTGACTCCAAACTTTCAATACAAACATGCTCAAGATGTTTCTGAGGATTTCATCTATTTCTGCCCTATTGATGTGGAAGTTCAGGATAAGTCCAGAAGACAAAAACAACAGAAACCAAGTATGGCCCCCTGACAACACACTGAAGAATGTATCCATTAGAGGGCCTTGGGGATTATCAGTCCAGTGGTAATGGTTACCACCTCCCCACTAACTAAGGAGTTAGAAGGAATAGCCCTTATAAAACCAAAAACATTTTAGGGTTTCTTCACCTAGAGAAAATGACAGTTAAATCTCCAAGGATCCTAGAATCCCAACACATAGATGTTACAGAAATTGACAGTCCAGAGCAAAGGGGAAAGGATGCCACAATATTGTTGCTCTTGTACCTGGAAAGGAAGAGCTAGATAATACAGAAATTCCAACTTTGAAATTCACTGGGCTTATACACCTGGAAGCTTTAACAAATAATTGTTCAGTATCCTCTGGATAGAGTCACCCACAAACTCCAAAAAATCTGGAATCTCCAGAAAATGCAGAGTCCCCAGGAAGTGATGAACTGGAAGTAGCAAGAAGCATGTATTCTCTTTTTTTTTTTTTTTTTTTTTTTTTTAGATGGAGTCTCGCTCTGTCACTCAGGCTGGAGTGCAGTGGTGCGATCTTGGCTCACTGCAAGCTCCGCCTCCTGGGTTCACACCATTGTCCTTCCTTAGCCTCCTCAGTAGCTGGGACTACAGGTGCCCGCCACCACGTCTGACTAATTTTTTTCTGTATTTTTACTAGAGATGGGTTTCACCATGTTAGTCAGGATGGTCTCAATCACCTGACCTTGTGATCCCCCTGCCTCAGCCTCCCAAAGTGCTGGGATTACAGGCGTGAGCCACGTGCCCGGCGGAAGCATGTATTCTCTTAGAGAAAGACCATCTTTCGGCAGTTCCTGGGCAGAGCTCCTGGAAGCACTGCTGATTGGTGAAGGGATCCACATTCTCCAAACTATTCTGACAGAAGAGGAGAGAGAGATTGGCTACCTCCAGCTACCACCAGAAGAGGAGAATCAAGCAACTACCATACTCAAGGGTGACCATCTCCATGCTTTGGAAGGCCCTTTTCCATTGCTGCCCCCAGCATCTTAAGTTTCATTGGTGGCACAGTCACAGACTGCCAGGATACAGCGATGTCAGGAGCTGAAAACTAAATGCACCAAAGTTAAATGCAACAGAGTTAACATCCAGAAGAGAAATGCTTCTTCTTCTCAAATGATCATAATTTGTTCACAGAAGGTAAGATTTTCAAACTCGCTTCAACTACTTTTGTAAATTATGTATAATTTTCCAGACAAGCAGATTTTCATCAGTGAATTCATTTTCAAACTTACCACCTGGAAATCTGTTTCTTTATATCCCATAAGGTATCAGCTTTTTCTAAGAGAATTGGGGAGTTCCCTACAATTGTAAGCCTAATATTTGGTGATTACAGTATTGAGAGGTGACAATGTGCTAGCAGCCCTTGCTCACTCTCAGTGCCTCCTTGGCCTCGGCGTCCACTCTGGCCATGCTTCAAGAGCACTTCAGCCCGTGGCTGCACTGTGGGAGCCCCTCTCTGGGCTGGCCGAGGCCAGAGCCAGCTCCCTCTGCTTGCCGGGAGGTGTGGAGGGAGAGGCGAGGCGGGAACCGGGGCTGCACGTGGTGCTTGCGGGCCAGGGCAAGTTCCAGGTGGGCGTGGGCTCGGCAGGCCCTGCACTCTTGGAGTGGCCCTGGGCTGTGAGGGGCTTAGCACCTGGGCCAGCAGCTGCAGAGCGTGCATCAGGTCCCCCAGCACTGCCGGCCCGCCTGCACCTTGCTTGAATTCTCGCCGGGCCTCAGCCGCCTCCCCACGGGGCAGGGATCAAGACCTGTAGCCTGCCATGCCCAAGCCCCCCCCCCCCACCACCGTGGCCTCCCACTTGGCCCGAGCCTCCCTGATAGGTGCCACCCCCTGCTCCGCTAAAGAGTGCAGGCCCGTGGAGTGGGACTGGCGGGCAGCTCCACCTGTGGCCTCAGCGAGGGATCCATAAGGCAAAGCCAGCTGGGCTCCTGAGTAGGGTGGGGTCTTGGAGAATTTTTATGTCTGGCTGGAGGATTGTAAATGCACCAATCAGCACTCTGTGTCTAGCTCAGGTTTTGTGGATGCACCAATCAGCACTCTGTATCTAGCTAGTCTGGTGGGGACTTGGAGAACTTTTATGTCTAGCTAGAGGATTGTAACTGCACCAATCAGCACTTTGTGTCTAGCTCAAGGTTTGTAAAGGTACCAGTCAAAATGGACCAATCAGCTCTCTGTAAAATGGACCAATCAGCAGGATGTGGGTGGGGTCAGATAAGGGAATAAAAGCAGGCTGCCTGAGCCAGCAGCTGCAACCCCCTTGGGTCCTTTTCCACGCTGTGGAAGCTTTGTTCTTTCACTCTTCGTAATATATCTTGCTGCTGCTCACTCTGGGTCTGCGAAGTCTTTAAGAGCTGTAACACTCACCCTGAAGGTCTGCAGCTTCACTCCTGAAGCCAGCGAGACCATGAACCCACCGGTAGGTACGAACAACTCCAGATGTGCTGCCTTTATGAGCTGTAACACTCACCATGAAGGTCTGTGGCTTCACTCCTGAAGCCAGCGAGACCACGAACCCACCAGAAGGAAGAAACTCCAGACACGTCTGAACATCAGAAGGAACAAACTCCGGACACACCATCTTTAAGAACTGTAACACTCACCATGAGGGTCCACAGCTTCATTCTTGAAGTCAGTGAGACCAAGAACCCACCAATTCTGGACACAGTATGACTTTAAGTTGGATACTTTCAATGAGACCCCAGTTAATAATTATGAGAAAATAAACTCTTAAAATATACAAACTAGTTATGACTTTGGAAATTTGGAATAAATTTTCTCTTTTAAAAATAACTTTCAGTTAAGTGGGTAATCTTGAGAAAATGACTAGTCCTCATTCTATCACAGATTTTAACTGACAGAATGGCAACATTTACCCTCTAACACACCCATCCACCCAGTAACAACCCTGTTGGTTAAAACAGAAACACTCCACTCCATTTCCTCCTGCATGTGAGCACCATAGTGGCTAAAAAGTATTAATTGACAAATAAATGATTAATATTATAGCCTATACCTGAAGTAATATTAACAGAACTACTTATGATGTATTTATAATGTACATTAAAATCCTAGGCTGAAATCTGCACTTAACTGTAAGGTAACATTTTTGTTTTTATCATTAGAGCTATTTAAACATATATGAAAATAATACTATGAATACCAAATAGTACTAGGAATTTTTAATTCTAACTCATGTTAGAAACCGACCCCCATAACTTCATGAAAATGGTGTCATCAACTAGAAATCTTTCTTAGAAATAGCCCCACCAAACTACAGAAGGTAGTTCCAGAGAAGAATCTGGAATCTAACACAAACTTTGTATGCAAATCATAATTTGGTCATTCTGTAATTTGTTTCTTTTTCTACACACATTCAAGACTGATAAATTATTTATCAGGCACTAAAATTTAAGTATTCAAAATCAGCTTAGATCACTTTATCATTTGAAATGTTTATAAAATTGGCTCAACCCCAAAATCACATCCAACACCCTCCTCAAAATTCCTGCAAATTCCTAGAGGCTTCCGTTTTCATGGTTACCCCTCTCTCTGATTTCATAGTTCCACTGAACTCTTCATCTCATCCTTCATTTATCACCCCTCTGCAGCTCCTCTCTCATCACAATATTGTTCTTCCTCTCTCGGTTGTTCCTCCATTTTTCTACTTTCCACTGTCCACAAATTCCTGGTCATTGTGTGAAACCATTAACCACAACTTTGGATTTTTTTCTGTTCACCTTTTATACCCAAAACAGATATTAAGATATTTTGCTAAACAGAAGGTTACATACCGTGATGATAGTGCCATGTGATTTGGAACTGTTAGATGATTGGATTGGTATCAAATTTGGATATACTTATCTGTCATTCTTACAGTTTCTTCTCAAAACAGTAGTCAATCTTCCATCTTTTAAAAACAACTTCTGATTATGTGTTTTAGAAAATGCAAATGAAAGAGACAGCATTAAAGAAGCTTGGCAAAAGGCCATTTTGTCAGGTTCTGCAGACTATTTTCCTATCAATTCAAGCTTTTAGAATTCTTCTGAAATTTGGGGTAAAATTAGAATTCCTGAAGATAGTACTGGACTTCCCAGGAACAATGTTAGAATTCCCAGAAATAATGTCAGTATTCCTATGGTTAATGTTGGAATTCCCATGGATAATCCTGAAGTTCATGGAGGCAATGCTGAAGTTCCTCATAAGTTTAATATTGAGGTTCCTACAAATAATGCTGGGGTTCCCAGAGGCAATGCTGGAGCATTGCTGGAACTTCAATGTAATCTTGAAGTTCCTAGAGGCAATGGTAGTGTTCCCAAGGGCAGTGGTGTTGGGGTTCCCATGGGTAATGTTGAAACTCTCAGGCGCAATGTTGGAACTTCCAGCAGACATACTGTATCCTCTCCACCTCTTGAGCTCTCAGAGATAGGTGATCTCCAATTATAAAAGCTGACATCTTACAAAGTAGTCCTAATAGTTAAATAAACACATCACAACACTTAACATCTAAACAGCTACGTACCAAGTCTTACAACTCAAAATAGTAAATGTAATATTTAAATTCAAAATGAATAAATAAATATATAAATACACTGATGATTGTCTTTTTTGGCATTGGATTGGGTTTATTTGCTAGTTTATTCTGAATGGGAACCATCAATTATCTATGAGATAATTTGGTTAGGGGTTGAGTTGTGAAGGAGTAAGATGCTTAATTCCTTAAGCCTAGATTTCTACTTGCTAAAGAGATACAGTGTCTATATCACTAAACAAAATAGCAACTAACCTTCAAATAATATTGTGTATCTCATATTCCCAACAATGGCAGGTCTTCTTGGATATTTTGATGGGCAAATGAAAGCAATCTCATAGTTATTAACAGTTATCTATATGAGTCTAGCTTAATATCCAAGAAATTTATTGACTGAAAGCTAAGGAAACAGGAAATTTGGCAAAAGATTATTGAATACAGTGCTTCTCTGAAATGTCCAGATAGAACCTCTGCAGAAAGCTCATTAACAAGAGTACTTAAATATGTGTATTTATTTTTGTGAAACACATCTGAGAAAAGTATAAACACTTACTGGAATTCTTTCTCTTTTTTTTTTTTTTTTTTTGAGACGGAGTCTTGCTCTGTCACCCAGGCTGGAGTGCAATGGCAGGATCTCGGCTCACTGCAACCTCTGCCTCCCGGATTCAAGCGACTCTCCTGCCTCAGCCTCCTGAGTAGCTGGGATTATAGGCACCCGCCACCACGCCCAGCTAATTTTTGTATTTTTAGTAGAGACGGGGTTTCACCATGTTGGTCGGGCTGGTCTCGAACTCCTGACCTCGTGATCTGCCCTCCTCGATCTCCTAAAGTGCTGGGATTCCAGGCGTGAGCCACCGCGCCCGGCCCATTTACTGGAATTCTTAAAAATATTAGAAGAAAAACAACTGTAGAACTGTAAATATTATATGTAGTGTTAATGTAAATAATATAAATAAGACAACACTAACAACACTACAGGATGCCTAAAATATTGCATGTTAATACTTTTGTTTTGAAAATTAATTTAGTTTATTCCTCTCAACTACCAAATTAGTTTGGCATAAAAAGACACAGGGCATAAGGGGGAAATTATTGAAATATTTTACCAAATCACTGAGTAGAATGCCCTTCTCAGAGAGAAGAGGACCACTTTTTAATGGCCAGATGATCATCATGGTATTCAAATTACACAATCATAGTTACCTGTAAAATTTGGTTTTAAAAAACATTTATTTCAGCCAGGCGTCCCAGCACTTTGGGAGGCTGAGGCGGGTGGATCACCTGAGGTTGGGAGTTCGAGACCAGCCTGACCAATGTGGAGAAACCCTGTCTCTAATAAAAATACAAAGAATTAGCCGGGCATAGTGGCGTATACCTGTAAACCCAGCTACTCGGGAGGCTGAGGCAGGAGAATTGCTTGAACCCAGGAGGCGGAGGTTGCGGTGACCAAGATCGTGCCATTGTGCTCCAGCCTGGGCAACAAGAGCGAAACTCTCTCTCAAAACAAAAACAAAAACAAAAACAAAAACAAAAACAAAAAAAAACAAAACAAAAAAGCAAAAAAAAAAATTTATTTCACAAAAACCTTTAAGATAGGTAAGATATGACTGGAAGGTAATGAGGCTAGCTCATAAACTACAGGGGGGAAATAATCTCATTATATTCAAACATAATATATTTTTTTCCAAAGTTTCGGGGTGTATGGGCCATTATTCAATTTGTACATTTAAATTTTCAACTATGCTGAATAATGGTAGCTGTTGTTTTTACAAAACCAAGGGTAATTTAAATTTTAGGTTACCACCTAACCCCTAATTGTGTGTCTTACCACATAATGCAAGTGGTGGTAATCTGTAGTCTAATGGCAAACTCCTGCCCACTCACAGGATCCATTTGGTCTTTGAGGAAGAAGGTAAAGAGGATAGCCCTCTCTTCACTACCCCCTGGTTCAGTGTGTGCTTACTGAACCATGGCTTTGGCATCAGAAGAAAAGGACAAGTAGTGAGATTTCTTTCCCCTATTTCTTACCAGCCCAGAAGATAGCATACCATTTCAGACTTGAGTAACCTGAATTTCGTATAGGGTAGCAAGACCACAGAAGTAATGGAAGGATACAGGATGCCATACTTCAGTGACTGTCAATGCCTGACTCAGAAAAAAACAAACTGACAATTCACCTTGTTTAACAGAGAGTCTATATATACACGATGTTGTCACACTGACTTTGTGAAATAGAACTATTACATTTCTGATCTTCAAAGGGAACCACCTTATGGGTGCAAAAACAGTAAAATAAGATGGAAACTGAGAAATGGCTCACTAAGAACTAACATTTACTACAAAGCAAGTGAAAAAAAAGACAAACAAAATTGTGCTCAACCATATATAATACTGACATATAATTGAAAATGGTCACTAAAACACTACCACCATCAACAACAGCAGCAAAACCCTGCTATATCAGTGTTATTTCTCATCCTTTATGATTAATATATTTTTGGGGTACTGTATTTAGTGACTTTAAACATAAAAAATTATATGTGAAGTGGCCAGGTGCTTCTTTGCAAAATTTTAAGAAACTGAATGAAACTAAGGTAAAGAATCAAATGTGAAGATGGTCTAAGAAGATAATTCTGAATCTCGTAAAGAAAATTACTTCCAAATATTGTTAGTTCAGAACTGAGCAATGCAAAAGTTTCAATGACACATCACTATTTATCTTCCAAGATTGTCCCATGTCTTCTTAGGGCTCTCTACGTCAAGTAAATTATCTAAAGTCATTCAATAATCATCATAATTCTAGAGGAAAGAGAGAGTAAAGAACATGGAATATACGGAATAAGAAATTTTCCTCACAAATTTCACATAAATTGAACCTGAGGCCTTCATGGAAAAAAAAAATGTTAAAATTGAAAATCTAAAGGCATAGGATTGAAGAAGGAAAATGATGAGCCATTTCTAATTCTCTTACTTTTTCCAAATAAATGACAGATTAAAATTACCTACATGTAATATTTCTATATTTTAATATGCTCCTATAAAATAAGAAGAAAATTACTTGCTAAAATTGATGATAGCGTAGGATGGGAGAAAGAACTCTGAAAGTGTCCTGCATATTTTACTATGCAAGAAAGAACAGTTAATCAGAAAACAACAATAAATAGTTATTGGTTAACCACCATAATTAGCCATATTGTTTCCTTCTAAGGCTCTAGAAAAATGTAAAGTGTGCACTGCTCAGTGTGAGTAACAGATGAATTCTTCTAATTTTACAGATGTTTTACATACATTCCCCTAATTATACTAAAATAATTTTAATTTGTAAATTAAATTGTACAATGTGCATTCAGATAAGTTGAAATAATTTTTAATTCACAAGTTACTTAGCAGAAGAATGAAAGAGTTTTCTTTACTAAATAATATTTCTTTTATGTCTGTTTAAGTCTTCAAAAATTAAGCAAATGAAAAAATATTTTCCTCAAAGGTTAATATGATGGAACTAAGGAGAAAAATATTTGACACAAAAACACTTATCTAAGAACCAACAAAATGTAGTATTCAAATATCATAACTGCTACTTTCATTTCAATAAACACAGCGTTAGAAAAATATTTCTCAAACCATTTAATTCAATTCAAAATATTTTTGAAGCATTCTGAATAGGGAAATCATTCATACATAACCATGACCTGTACATTAGAACAAAGGGACTTCAACAGTTTGTAACATTAAAAAATATATATTTCAGATGGTCTGTTTGTCTATAATTAGAAGGTAAAATGAAGAATTGAGGCTTTACACATGTAGTGAAGCCTTAATTTATTTCAGAAAACCACAATATCAAGAATCATTATAAAATTACAACACACAACTATGAAGAAAATTTATCCAAAAAATCAAGCAAGGGCATTAATTTTGAACATTAAACTCATGGTAACTGAATGCACAACAGTATTTCTTTTTAAGAATGAGACAGTATAGACGGTGTGTATAATTTATATTAAAATCCATTAACTAGCAAGAAAGCTTCATTTATTGCATGTGGCGTTTCCATCTAATGATTAAGTATGTTTTAGAAGTGAAAACTCAAAATATTGCAAATTGCTTTTAGTAGATCATAGGGTATAAAGTGCATATGACTGTTCAATAAATCTTTTAAGAGCAAAGAGCCTCATTGATGTGTGATAATCTTGTAGAAAGTGGGGGGATAAAAGAAGAGCAAAACAGAAATTAGAATAAAACTGTAGCAAACCACCATGGCACACATTTACCTATATAACAAACCTACACGTCCTGAATATGTACCCCTGAACCTAAAACTTGAAAATCAAAAAAGAAACTTAGAAATTAATGATAAAATATTGTGAGCAGTCCCAGATCATATTTTAGCATTCTTTTGCCAAGTGAATGGAATGATTATGAAACAGATATCTCATTTGCCATTAGAAAAGGAATTAGTTGCATAATAATAGACGATTATATTGTTTGTCTCACTGTCTTCCCACTTTTCATGTGGGCAGCATCTCATTTTTTTTTTTTTTTTGTATCCTTTGCTGGTGTGCAAAATAGATTGATACATTAGTTTTAAAAAAGGAAAAAAATAAAATGATGTATTTTGAAGGTTTTTACGAACTTTTTTGCACGTTTGAACTTGTCATTTTACTTTTTATTAATATGAACAAATAAGCCTTACAATAATTAAACTTTAGCACTAACATCCCTAAAGTTTATGCTACCACTGGCCGGGTGCAGGGGCTCACACCTATAATTCCAGCACTTTGGGAGGCTGAGATGGGTGGATCATGAGGTCAAGAGATGGAGATCATCCTGGCCAACATGCTGAAACTCAGTATCTATTAAAAATACAAAAATTAGCCAGGAGTGGTGATGTGCGCCTGTAGTCCCAGCTACACAGGAGGCTGGGGCAGGAGAATCGCTTGAACCCGGGAGGCAGAGGTGCAGTGAGCCGAGATCATGCCACTGTACTCCAGCCTGGGTGACAGAGCAAGACTCCATCTCAAAAAAAAAAAAAAAAAAAAGTTTATGCTACCACCGATTTCCTAATTCTTATGATATACATCATCAATTTATGAATTTGCCTACAGCATATTTTTGCTATTAAAAAGTAATATTTAAGAGTTTATTTTTAAAGCTGACTTACCTCCAGTAGATTTGATTATCTTATGCGACTAGTATTTACCTACAAACTACATTTTCTATTCTTATACTAGAGTAAAATAAGAGATCATCTTCAAAATAAAACTTTAGAAATGCAGTGACATTCAAAATTATAGGTAATATAATATTAAATTGTGTTAGAATTATTAACAGTTAATATTGCTGATTTTCCCCAAAGCCCAACAATACTGAAGATCATCATGAAAATACTAATTTTCATAATTCTTCCATAAGTGTATCTAGTCATTCAAAAATAAATACACATACATTTCAGAATTTTAAAGCTGCAGAATAATAATGGACAAAGTTCATTCCTGAAACTTAACATTTCAATGCTATGTAACAAGTGCTAATGGCAACACATGTGCAGTACTCAGACGGATTAAAAAGTCTGTGAAGAAGAAAAGATCACAAAGATGTCGTATTGACTTGGAAATATCCATTATTGTCAAAATTCAGTAATAACACCTCTACACATTACACCTTCTCAAACCTTTAAGCCTGTCAAATTCTCAAACCAAGTGTTTGTTTGTTGTATCTGTGTGCAGTATGTTTCAAGTAAGTGACTTTATATTTCTTTTTCTACATTTATCACCAGTGACTAGAGAACAAATCTGTTTTAACTTAAAAAACAAAAAACAAACAAACAAACAAAACCCTTTCCTGATTCAAGAAAATGAGCAAGAGCTGATGCAGTGCTTAAAATTTTACTATTCATTATGAATTTAAATTTTCTACCTTTCGGAAATGAAAGATACAACTTGAATTTATTTTCAAAGAAAAGGACAGTGAGTAAAGTACACTGGTATTATGAAACACCTTCCATTTTTACACTGATACTGTATTCAATTTTTTAAAATGTGTATTGCCATTAATTGCTGGCCATTGTTGACTTCTGTCTTATGTATGAAGTGTCTACTTGGATAGGTTTAAACAGTGTAGCATTCAAGGTGATATTTTAATATATATGTGGCATGTATACCTTGGCCTCTATCGTATCTTTAAATAAAATGTGGTATAGATTGATGTGATAGGTTTTTTTTTTTTAATTCTGGGGTTGAATTATCACAACACCGGGATATTAAACTGTTGGTGCTCAATCTGTACAATTATCCTAATCTTGCAAAGCTTACAACAGGTATTTTAATATCTTACTAAGTTAAAATTCTAATAAAGAATATTGCAGAGGGGTTAAAACAATTTAAATGCAAAATTTTTACTAGATTAATCTTATTTTTGCAGCAAAATGTACCAATCATTTATTAGGATTGTTTGCAAAAATATACAAATAGGCTGGGTCCGGTGGCTCACATCTGTACTCCCAGCACTTTGGGAGGCCAAGGTGGGAGGATTGCTTGAAGCCCAGGAGTTCAAGACCAGCCTAGGCAACAAAGTGAGACCACCCCACCCCCTGCCATCTCTACAAAAAATAAAAAAAATTAGCCAGGCACGCTTGCAGTCCCTGATACTAGGGAAGCTGAGACAGGAGGATCACTTGAGTCCAGGAGTTCGAGGTTACAGGAAGCCATGATCATGTCACTGCACTCCAGCCAGGATGACAGAGTGAGACCCTGTCTCAAAAAATAAAATAAAATCGAAATCACTTCTACACCTACTGATGCAGCTGCTACCATGGTCTTTTGTCCAAGTGTCGTGGTATGATGTAGGCACTATCTTTTTTTATCTTTCTCTGTGAGTGTGTGTGTGCATGAATGCACATATATGTGAAACACACAGAAAGGAGGCTTGGAAATAAATATATACACCATCGTTTGCACTTGTGTTTAATCATTGATAGTTTTAACACAGTTACTTTCTTAAGCACCTTAAGATTATTTTATATTTTACTGTAGAAAGATTCCAATATCACTTCATTTGTACTGGTAACATACACCTGTGGTTCTTATACTTTGCCTTGCTAAGCTGGCAAGTAGAGAAATAGATATTTCAAATGTTACCTTTTGTGTCCGAAATTAGTAATTAAATATCATAAAAAAGTAGAAAAAATGTTATGATTAATTCTATGTAATAAAAAGAAGAGCTAACCTACTGACTTACACACTGAAAATCTTGGTTGGTTCTATGTTTCACATGTTTCATTTATATACAAAATCTCATTAAAAATTCAGTTTTCCTTTATTCAGAAAGTGAACTATTTTGTGAAATGCAAAAGATTAAGAAACATGAACTAAAACACTAGAAATGTTTGATGCTACAGGAATTAAAATTAACTCACTTCTGTCTTATATCTTAAAACTAAATTTCAACTCGTGGATAATGTTGTTTCTCTTAAATATTTTAAATTTTGTATTTGTAACATGCTGAGACTTGTACTCTAAGTTATGTAACCTATAAGTGTTAGCTGTTTATTTTCCTTCTTCTCATCAAGTAAATTATGAAACTTATTGTAATTGATGCCATTTTGCTATCAGATTTCTGCCAGATACCTTGTTAATATTTAGTGTGTGGTAAAATTTATTGATGGTGAGTGTCACTGTGCAGTCCTTATTAGGCATGTATTTTCCAATACATTACAATGATATGCAAGGTCCACTGCAAACATGTTTTAAAATGGTCTTTTTTCTAACATATTGATCTGCTGCAAATAATATATATTTGGCACAATAGTGAAAGGAACACATTTCTTCCTAAATTCAATTTTTTCCCCCTTTTTAATTTTTTTATTTTTTATTTACTTTAAGTTCTGGGATATATGTGCTGAACGTGCAGGTTTGTTACATAGGTATACATGTGCCATGGTGGTTTGCTACACCTATCAACCTGTCATTTAGGTTTTAAGCCCCGCATACATTAGGTATTTGTCCTAATGCTCTCCCTCTCCTTTCCCCCCGACCCCCCGACAGTCCCTGGTGTGTGATGTTCCCCTCCCTGTATCCATGTGTTCTCGTTGTTCAACTCCAACTTATGAGTGAGAATATGCAGTGTTTGGTTTTCTGTTCCTGTGTTAGTTTGCTGAGGATGATGGCTTCCAGTTTCATCTATGTCCCTGCGAAGGACATGATCTCATTCCCTTTTATCTCTGAATAGTATTCCATGGTGTATATGTACCACATTTTCTTTATCCAGTCTATCATTGATGGGCATTTGGGTTGGTTCCAAGTCTTTGCTTTTGTAAAGAGCGCTGCAAAAAGCATATATGTGCATGTGTCTTTATAGGAGAATGATTTATAATCCTTTGGGTATATACCCAGTAATGGGATTGCTGGGTCAAATGGTATTTCTGGTTCTAGATCCTTGAGGAATTGCCACTCCACAATGGTTGAACTAATTTACACTCCCACCAACAGTGTAAAAGTGTTTCTATTTCTCCACAGCCTTGCCAGCATCTGTTGTTTCCAGAGTTTTTAATGAATGCCATTCTAACTGATGTGAGATGGTATCTCATTGTGGTTTTGATTTGCATTTCTCTAATGACCTGTGATGATGAGCTTTTTCAAGAAAAAAAAATCCCATCAAAAAGTGGGTGAAGGATATGAACAGACACTTCTCAAAAGAAGACATTTATGTGCCCTAAATTCAAATTTATCTTTCGCTTAAAAACTTCATTTACAAATTTAGATTTCAATAAATGGTGTCACCTGCTCTCAAGTATTATATTTTTTCTTTTTATTTCTTTCAGATACAGTTTGCTTAGTGTTACAGTCATCCCTTGGTATTTGTGTGGGATTGGTTCCAGGACCCCTTCAGATAACAAAATCCACAGATACTTAAGATTTCTATATAAAATAGCGTAGTGTTTGTATATAACCTACACACATCCTCTCATATACTTTAAATCATCTCTAGATCACTTATAATACCTAATACGATGTAAATGCTATGTAGACAGTTGTTATACTGTATTGTTTAGGGAATAGTGACAAAAAAATCTGTGCATGTTTAGTACAGACACAATCACCCATTTTTTTCCCCAAATATTTTTGATCCACAGATAATTGAATCCATGGATGTGGAATCTGTGGATATGGAGGGCCAACTGTACAAACATCCCTAATTCAGATATGTTGAATCTCAATCAAATAATAATAGAGCTAATTATTTGAATGCTTGAAACCTCAAGCCATACCCCATAAAACAGTCCAGTAATTTAAAAAGCATTTGATGGTGCTACTTTAAATCTTGAGTGACTTATGGTTGAACCCAGTTGTGTGTAAACAAAACCTATTAAGCAATGTTAGAATTTGTGAGAAACACAAGCTTCCATCACATCCCAGGATTCTGACACACATGGGTCTCCACCTAGAACTTTGCTAAAGGCTTCTCTTCTCAGTTCACCAATCTCTCAATAATGTTACTGATGTGCCCCAGGTGTAGATGGGGTGACTTTTCACTTTGGGGACTTCAAGCATTTCAGGGGTCCGAATATGCTGAACATAACTTCAGAAGACACTATTACTCCTTTCCACTATATAGATGTGAGAAAATATGATATGTTTAATGAGTATATATATTCATTAATATATATGTATATGCTAATATGTATTGCACACATTAGAGTTTATTCTAACTACATTACATTGATGAGACAAAGATAATGAATAAGGCCAAACCAAATCAGCTATCGTTCTTTATTACCTGGTCCCAATTTTAATTTCTGGCTATTTTTATAACTTAAAAAGCTGGGGCTGGGCACGGTGGCTCACGCCTGTAATCCCAGCACTTTGGGAGGCCAAGGCGAGTAGATCACCCGAGGCCAGGAGTTTGAGACCAGCCTGGCCAACATGGCAAGACCCTGTCTCTGCTAAAAATACAAAGATCAGCTGGGCATTGTGGAGGGTGCCTGTAATCCCAGCTACTCAGGAGGCTGAGGCAGGAGAATCGCTTGAACCTGGGAGGCAGAGGTTGCAGTGAGCCGAGATCATGCCACTGCACTCCAGTCTGGGTGACAGAGTGGGACTCTGTCTCAGAAAAAAAAAATGAACATTTTATGTGGGATAAAATATTCTAACCAATGAATGAATGAACATCAGTATGCTAATAACAGTATTTCATTGAGAAGAGAATTACTGCAGAAAACTTGAGAAGAGAGAGCCATGGCATCCATTACTTTTATTCAACATACAGTTGAGCACCAACCCTATAACCTGTACTGAGCTAGGCACTAGGGAATATAATGTTGGAAAAAACAACCTCATTCATACATACACTCTGGAAACATACAAGCTCATTGGGGATACAGAGTAAATAATTAAGGTGGTCATAAAAGGCCACTTTGGCAACAACTGGTAATTACTTTCACTTCATTTTTATAGGAAATAACTCTTAAAACCAGCTACAAATAAAGTATTCATACAGACAAAAAGATGTGCTTCAGTCCTTACCACGTTTTTATAACATAAAATAGCCTTGGACAAATATTGAGTGGTATCCTATAAGAATTCCAGAAAAGTATTCTCTCTCTAAAAGTCAGCAAAGTCTTGGGCATGAAATCCTATAATAAGTCAACACAACCACAGCAAAGAAATCAACTCACAATTGTTACTCCTGTTTATCTTGTTGATAAGTTTTCTCCAATGCAATGACTCAGATTTGATGTGCATTGAAATGTCTTGGAGACGTAGTTACAAAGACCAATTTTGAAGCCAGATCTTAATACTAAATAAGAATCTTTGAAGATAGGACATAGGAACCTATATTTTTATTTTTGTTTTGAAACAATTGCATACTTAGAATAAAAGTATAAGTGCAGTAGAAAACATTTTTATTTCGGGACTGTTTCAGACTAAGTTGCTTACCTGATGCACCTCCACCCTCAAATAATTTAGCGTGTATTTCTACAAGTAAGGACACCATCTATGTAACCACAATATAATCATCAAAACAAGACAATTAACAGACCCTACTGGAATTTTACCAAGAGTCTCAATAATGTACATTATGGCAAAAGAATCCAGTTCAGTATCACATGTTGTATTTAGATGCCACGATTCTTTAGTCTCCTTCAACCTGGAGCAGTCCCTCAGTCTCTCCCAGAGTTTCATGACCTTGACTTTTTTTGAGGATTACAAGCTAGTAAGTTTTTGTGCATTTATTTGTTTGTTTGTTTAGAATGTTTATGAATTGGGTTTGTCTCATGCTTCGTCATCACTAGATTTAGGTTATGTATCTTCAGCAGGAATATCACAGTATGTTGTGATCTTATTGTGTCCTATTGGATGGCACACAATTTCAATTTGTCTTATTTAGCTATTCTGTTCTCCATCAAACTTTTGTCATTCATTTATTTATATCTGCAAGGACACACTAGTTTCTGATTTACTCAATGATTTATAATCTACTATTAATATTATTTTTATGCCCCAAATATCCTCCATTTAGTCAGTAGGATTTCCTTAAGACCTGACTTCTTATCCTTTCAACATGTCACCATTGTTCTTTTGTACTTCCTGGCTCTATGGCACAAGATGTCCCAGGTTCATCTAGTATTTTTCCTGTACCAGCCCAGGAATCACCATTTCTCCAAAGAACCATCATTCCTTTTAGTGGATATTGGTATTTAGAGGCCTAAATCTAGGTATTAAGTGTTCAATACTATAGGGGTGTGGTGGCTTTTAGGGTTCATGGTTAAACGAAAACCACAATGTGTATTCTCATTTTCTCCTTTTCCAAATTTGTAATGTCCTTCTCTGGCAGAGAAACCTGGCTTTAATTATACTTAATATACTTACTTCTTTGATTAAGAAACCAATCTCCCATTTATGCATCCACAACCCTCCCCCTTGCAGATACTGTCTTATCTCTGTTCTCACTCTGAGTCCCCATTCTGAGCCAAACATATCCCCCAGCCTACATGAATGCCCTCCTCATGCTACTTAAGATATGACTTCTTGAGCCAGGCCACCCCTCTGTAGATATGCCATCCTTACCTTGCTAAGGCTTGGACTCAATATCTTTAGAACTGAATTGTTCAGGAATAGAATAAAAGAGAAGAGAAAGGAAAAGAAGGGAAGGGAAGGGAAGGGGAAGGGGAAGGGGAAGGGGAAGGGGAAAGAGTGCCAGTCTGGGACCTCTGAGGAGTAAACCCTAAGATGCAGTTAAATGTACAAGATTTTTATTAGGGGAGACACCAGTGACAGAAAATGGGAAGGGAGCTGGGAAAGACTGCAAAAGTCATCAGACCTAAAATGAAGGAGTGAGGGAAGGAAAGTTGGGTAGAAGTGTTCTAGGCTACCTTGTGATTTCAGGAAGGTTTGTCAAGACTGTGGTGGAGTGCTCAAACCCATGACATTTGTCCAGAGGAGTTCCATGTCTCTTAGGAATTTGCCTGCCTTAATTTGCCTGCCATGCTCAATCATATGGCAGGAACAGTCCATGGGAGGCATGATTTTAGTCCAAATACAACAGTGAATTTTGGAGTACTGCACCTGAGGCCCTTGGTGAATTACACTTACTGTAGTTGGAAGCCTATAAGGAACTTTCTCAACGCGTCTACCTGAGAGAGAAAGGAAGGGATTAAAAAAGTAGAGAAGTGTACCCAACAGAGCATCTGGAAGTCATTGTGCTGTTTGTTGAATATTATAAAAAAGTATTTATGGGAGGAAAAGGACTTCCTGGAGGTGGAGCAAGATGGCAGAATAGAAGGCTTAACCGATCATAAAGGACACCAATTTAACAACTGTCTACATGAAAAAATAAAAAAAAAAAAAACACCTTCATAAGAACTGAAAATCAGGTGAGCCTTTGTAGTACCTGGTTTTAACTCTGTATCATTGAAAGAGGCACTGAAGAGATAGAAAAATCATGCCCTTGGAAATATGAAAAGAGTATGTAGAGATTTACATTGTGAACTTCTATCTAAGAAGGAACATAGGAGCTCAGGATAAAAGCAAAAGAAACTTTGGATCCTCTGAAAAATATGATAGATGGCAGACTGCATGGTGGGTGCAGCAGAAGACTGTGAGCAAAGCCTCAGTTCATGAGAGAGGTAGAGAAGGTTTCTATGATATACATTCCCACTGGGGAGTCAAGCAATCAAGGCTACCTGGGGGCTCCTTGAGCCCACCAAACACCGGATCTGATGTGGGGAGCAGTGGGGAGACCCTGGGAAGAAGTGTCAGCAGAAATTGCCCCATGCATGCTCCCAGTCCCTGGCAACAATAGAGGGAGGAGCAGTCACTGTTTTAAAGAGTGATTGCTGTCCATGATGTCACCAGAGTGGCCAGAGACACAGTTTCCTGACTGTGGATGGCGATCTATTCTCAAGTGGAGTGGTGAGTGTGGCATGTGTTCCAGCCACTGGCCTGGGAGTTGGGCACCCCCTCACTTTGCAAGACCAGACTGGAAAAGGTATGGCCTGGGAGCCATGGTTTTTCACCTAGGCAGAGTTCCTTAACCTAGGATAGGTTTGCAGTCTGAGGACAGACTGCTTGTAACGTGGCTGGCTGTTCTCGCTTGCTGTGGCCAGCTGTGGGCCACAGGAGGGAGTCCCAGTGGGCCAAGATCACAGGAGTGAGGTGGGTACCACTGCAGCCTGCTAGTCTGTGGAGCCTTAGCCACCCCTCTTTCTTCATGCTGGCTCTTTGGTGTGGCAGTGGTTGCTCCACTCCTCCCTGGAGAACTGGCCCAGTGACCTGAGAACTGTCTTCTGACCCCCATCAGGGTAAGCCCTTGTGTTAGCTCTTAGGGATCCCAAGCATGGGCTTTCCTGGCTCAGCCCTGCTTGGCTTGCCCCCTACACCTGTCTCAGAAGCAGAGCATGGGACAAGGACCTCTGGGAGTTCCACAGTCAAATTCATTGCCTAAGACATCTGACATCTCCTGGTTAAAAAAGTTGAAGCATACATGGAATACTATGCAGCCATAAAAAAGGATGAGTTCACGTCCTTTGTAGGGACATGGATGAAGCTGGAATCCATTATTCTGAGCAAACTATCGGAAGGACAGAAAACCAAACACCGCATGTTCTCACTCATAGGTGGGAATTGAACAATGAGAACACATGGACACAGGGTGGGAAACATCACACACCAGGGCTTGTCATGGGGTGCGGGGAGGGATAGCATTAGGAGATACGCCTAATGTAAATGACGAGTTAACGGGTGCAGCACACCACCATGGCACGTGTATACATATGTACAACCTGCACATTGTGCACGTGTACCATACAACTTTAACTATAATAAAAAAAAAAAGTTGAAGCATAAACTCTACTGTCACCACTGTGGCTGGCACTCACATGAAAGTACCACCTACTAGCTGGGAGGTCAACCTGCACAGACCATTACAGCATCTGCTGATACAATTGCACAGTGCTTAGGAAGGAGACAAATTTGTGTAACTGCTGCTACCACCATTGTGCACACCACCCTGGCTACTCAGAAGGCCCTGAGTCCATTCACTTGCCCAATACATTACTACTACAGCTGGCATTTGAGAAAGCCACCGCATTTAGGCTATTTATGACCCAGGAAATCATACAGAGACTATGCCACTGAATGCACCCATAATCAAAGCCAAATGACCCTACAAACCATACATCATAAACACATCTTGAAGAAAAAAAGACCTGCCCTAATAAAAGTAAACTCAAAAATGAGAAATGATTGTTACTTCAGATGCAAAGGAATAAGTGCAATAATACTAGAAGTTTAAAAAAGAGCCAAGACGCAATGACACCCTTGAAGGAACACAGTAATTCTCTAGCAATGGATCCTAAACAAAGAGAAATCTTCAAAATAGCAGATAACGAATTAAAAATACAGATTGTAAAGGTCAATGAGATACAAGAGAAATCTGAAAACCAATAAAAAAAATCAGAAAATCAACTCAGGATATGAATGAGAAATATATCAAAGAGATAGATTTTTTTTAAAGCCAACAGAACTTCTAGAAATGAAAAATTCATTGAAATAATTAAACATATAGTTGAAAGTTTCAACAATACACTTGACAAAGCAGAAGAAATCCTCTTGGAACTTGAAAACAGGTCTTTCAAATTAATCTGGTCAGACAAAAAGAAAAAAGAATTTAAAAAAATGAACAAAGCCTTTGAGAAGTATAGAATTATGCAAAATGACTGAACCTATGAATTAAAGATATTCACACAGAAGAAGAAAGAGCAAGAGCAAAAAGTTTGGAAAATTAATTTCAGGAAATAACTGAGGAAAGCTTCCTAGTCTAGCAAAAGATATAGATACCCTGATACAAGAAGCTCAGTAAATACATTGCAAGAAGGACCTCACCATGACATAGAGGCATCAGACTAAGATCATCAAGGAAAAAACCTAAAATCAGCAAAAGTGTCTAGTCATCTATAAATGATACCCCACTAGACTAATAGCAGACTTCTTAGCAGAAACTCTATGAGCCAGAATGGAGTGGGATTCTTTTATCAAAAGTGGTTAAATTAAAAAAAAAATGCCAAACTCAAATTTTGTATTCTCTGAGAAGATGGATAAATTCCTCGACACATACACTCTCCCAAGACTAAACCAGGAAGAAGTTGAATCTCTGAATAGACCAATAACAGGAGCTGAAATTGTGGCAATAATCAATAGCTTACCAACCAAAAAGAGTCCAGGACCAGATGGATTCACAGCCGAATTCTACCAGAGGTACAAGGAGGAAGTGGTACCATTCCTTCTGAAACTATTCCAATCAATAGAAAAAGGGGGAATCCTCCCTAACTCATTTTATGAGGCCAGCATCATCCTGATACCCAAGCCGGGCAGAGACACAACCAAAAAAGAGAATTTTAGACCAATATCCTTGATGAAGATTGATGCAAAAATCCTCAATAAAATACTGGCAAACCGAATCCAGCAGCACATCAAAAAGATTATCCACCATGACCAAGTGGGCTTCATCCCTGGGATGCAAGGCTGGTTCAATATACGCAAATCAATAAATGTAATCCGGCATATAAACAGAACCAAAGACAAAAACCACATGATTATCTCAATAGATGCAGAAAAGGCCTTTGACAAAATTCAACAACCCTTCATGCTAAAAACTCTCAATAAATTAGGTATTGATGGGACGTATCTCAAAATAATAAGAGCTATCTATGACAAACCCACAGCCAATATCATACTGAATGGACAAAAACTGGAAGCATTCCCTTTGAAAACTGGCACAAGACAGGGATGCCCTCTCTCACCACTCCTATTCAACATAGTGTTGGAAGTTCTGGCCAGGGCAATTAGGCAGGAGAAGGAAATAAAGGGTATTCAGTTAGGAAAAGAGGAAGTCAAATTGTCCCTGCTTGCAGACGACCTGATTGTATATCTAGAAAACCCCATTGTCTCAGCCCAAAATCTCCTTAAGCTGATAAGCAACTTCAGCAAAGTCTCAGGATACAAAATCAATGTACAAAAATCACAAGCATTCTTATACACCAATAACAGACAAACAGAGAGCCAAATCATGAGTGAACTCCCATTCACAATTGCTTCAAAGAGAATAAAATACCTAGGAATCCAACTTACAAGGGATGTGAAGGACCTCTTCAAGGAGAACTACAAACCACTGCTCAATGAAATAAAAGAGGATACAAAGAAATGGAAGGACATTCCACGCTCATGGGTAGGAAGAATCAATATCGTGAAAATGGTCATACTGCCCAAGGTAATTTACAGATTCAATGCCATCCCCATCAAGCTACCAATGACTTTCTTCACAGAATTGGAAAAAACTAAAGTTCATATGGAACGAAAAAAGAGCCAGCATTGCCAAGTCAATCCTAAGCCAAAAGAACAAAGCTGGAGGCATCACACTACCTGACTTCAAACTATACTACAAGGCTACAGTAACCAAAACAGCATGGTACTGGTACCAAAACAGAGATATAGATCAATGGAACAGAACAGAGCCCTCAGAAATAATGCCACATAGCTACAACTATCTGATCTTTGACAAACCTGAGCTTCATAAATTAAGGAAAAATAAAGTCTTTCTCAGTCAAGCAAACACTGACAGAATTTGACACCTTTAGACTGGTCCTAACAAAAATAGGCAAAGGAGTTCTAAACATGGAAACAAACGATCGATACTCACTATCCTAAAATCCCATGAACGTATAAAACTCACAGATTTTATAAAACAATCACAGAAATAAGAATGAGAAAGAAAGAAAATGGCAGCATGACAGAACTCCACCAAATCACAAAAAGACAGAGAAAAAAAGAAACAAAGAATCTACAAAGCAACTAGATAACAATATTATGACAGGAACAAAACCTCACATATCAATATTAACTTTTAAGAGAAATGGATTAAATGCTCCATTCAAATGATACAGATTTGCAGAATGGATAAAAAACACAGATTAACTATATGCTACTTACAAGAAACTCACTTTTAAAGACACATAGACTGAAGGTAAAAGGGTGGAAAAATGATATTCCATGGAAACAGAAACCATACAGCAAACAGGAGTCCAGGTGTGGTGGCTCATGCCTGTAATTCCAGCACTTTGGGAGGATGAGGCAGGTGGATCACTTAAGGTCAGGAGTTTGAGCCCAGCCTGGCCAACGTGGTGAAACCCTGTCTCTACTAAAAATACAAAAAAAAAAAAAATTATCCAGGCATGGTGGCACGTGCCTGTAATCCCAGCTACTCGGGAGGCTGAGGCAGGAGAATTACTTGAACCTGGGAGGTGAAGGTTGAGGTGAGCCAAGATTGTGCCACTGCACTCCAGCCTGGGTGACAGAGTGAGACTTCTTCTCCAAAGAAAAACAAAACACATACACACAAACAAGAGTAGCTATACTTATCTAAGATAAAATAGAATTTAAATCAACAGTAAAAAAAGTCAAAGAAAAGTGATTATATAATGATAAATGGATTCAACTAATAGGAAGATATAAAAATCCTGCATCTATCTGCACCCAATCCTGGAGCAGCCAGATTCATAACACAAATATTACTAGACCTACCAAAAAGACGGAAAGCAATATAAGAATAATGGGGGAATTGAACACTCCACTGACAGCACTATACAGATTATCAAGACAAGAAAACACTACTTAAATTGGACTTTAGACCAAATTGATCTAATAGATATTTATAAAACCTTCTAACCAATAACAACAGAATATACATTATTATCATCAGCACATAGACTGTGCTCCAAGACAAACCATGTATTAGGCCACAAAAGAAGTCTGAATACATTTTTAAAAACTGAAATCATATCAAGTATCTTCTTGGACAAAAGTAGAATAAAACTACAAATCAATTCCAAGAGGAACTCTTGAAAAAATACATAGAAATTAAACAACACACTACTGAATAATATTTGGATCAATGATGAAATTAAGATAAAAACTTTAAACATTTTGGAAACAAATGAAAATGGAGACACAACACACTAAAACCCCTAGGATACAATAAAAACACTGCTAAGAGGAAAGTTTGTCGTGCTAAATGCCTACATCAAAAAACTCAGAACACAAATTAACAACCTAATGTCACACCTCAAGGAACTAGAAAAGTAAGAACCAAACATAAAGCTAGCAAAAGAAAAGAAATAACAAAGATCTCAGAAGACCTAAATGAAATTGAGGTCAAAAAAATACAAAGAATCAATTAAACAAAAAATTGATTATTTCAAAAGGTAAACAAAATTGGAAAAATTTTGCAATCTATCCATCTGACAAAGGGCTAATATACAGGATCTACAAATAACTTAAACAAATTTACAAGAAAAAAAACAATCCCATCAAAAAGTGGGCAAAATATATGAACAGACACCTATGAAAAGAAGACATTTATGCAGCCAACAAACACATGAAAAAATGCTCATCATCACTGGTCATTACAGAAATGCAAATCAAAACCACAATGTGATACCACCTCACACCAGTTAGAATGGCAATCATTAAAAAGTCAGGAAACAACAGATGCTGGAGAGGATGTGAAAAAATAGGAACGCTTTTACAATGTTGGTGGGAGTGTAAATTAGTTCAACCATTGTGAAAGACAGTGTGGTGATTCCTCAAGGATCTGGAACTAGAAATACCATTTGATCCAGCAATCCCATTTCTGGGTATATACCCAATGGATTACAAATCGTTCTACTATAAAGACTCATGCACATGTATGTTTACTGTGGCACTGTTCACAATAGCAAAGACTTGGAACCAACCCAAGTGCCCATCAATGATAGACTGGATTAAGAAAATGTGGCACATATACACCATGGAATACTATGCAGCCATAAAAAAGGATGAGTTCATGTCCTTTGCAGGGACATGGATGAAGCGGGAAATCATCATTCTCAGCAAACTAACACAAGAACGGAAAACCAAACTCTGCAGGTTCTCACTCATAAGTGGGAGTTGAACAATGAGAACACATGGATACAGGGAGGGGAACATCACACACAGGGGCCTGTCAGGGGCTGGGGGACTAGGGGAGGGATAGCATTAGGAGAAATACCTAATGTTGATGATAGGTTGATGGGTGCAGCAAACCACCATGGCACATGTATACCTATGTAACAAACCTGTACATTCTGCACATGTACTCCAGAACTTAAAGTATAATACAAAATAAAAATAAAAAATAAAATAAAATAAAAGGCTGTTTATAAAAAAATACAAAGACTCTATTAAACAAAAAGTTTTTTATTTCAAAAGATAAAAAAAATTGAGGCCAAGTGCAGTGGCTCATGCTTATAATCCCAGCACTTTGGGAAGCTGAGGTGGGCAGATACTAATGATATTAATCATCCATAAAAAAGAACAAAATCATATCTTTTGCAGTAACATGGATGGAAGTGGAGGCTATTATCTTAAATGAAATAACTTAGAAAGTCAAATATCACATGATCTCACTTATAAATAGGAGCTAAATAATGTTTATACATGGACATAGAGTGTGGAATAATAAACATTGGAGACTCAGAGGTGTGGGAGGTGGGAGGGGTGTGAGGGATGAGAAAATGCTTAATGGATACAATGTATACTATTTGGGTGATAGTTATACCAAAAGCTCAGACTTCACCACTACACAATATATCCATGTATAAAAAATGCACTTGTACCCCTAAATTTATACAAATAAAAAATAATAAAATAACATAGCCACGATAGGGAAGAGGAGAATTAGCTGCCTAAGGTTAGGTATATTTATCCTGAATGTAGGGGTTTTTTCGAAGAGTAAAATGAAACTTTTCCAGTGAGACTGGGTAGATGAGTTTATTGGCAAAAAAGTGGTTGAAGAGATGTACCACAAGGTCTAGGCTGGTTAGAAAATAAAATGAGGCCAGAAGGGACTAACAGATAGTGAAAAAGGTGATGTGATGGTGGCTTTAAAATATGTATTTAAAGTCTTTGGTATTCCTCCATTTAAAGCTAGAGCCTACTAACTCTATGAGCTCTATGAGGACACTCAGTCAACCTTATGGAGTGATTCACATGGCATATCTGAAGGCTCCTATCAACAACCACCAAAGCAAATGAGCCATTTTGGAAGTGGATCCTTAAACCCCAATCAAGCCTTCTGATAACTGCAGCTCTGGCTGATATCTTGAGTACAACCTCATGAGAGATGAGTAGAATCATCCATCTAAACCACTTCAGAACTCTTGACCCACAGAAACTGTGAGACAATACATGCTTGTTTTTTATATTGCTAAATTTGGGGTAAAGTGTTGTGCATCCAAAGATAGCTAATATAGACATTAAGATCTAGAGAGCCCAAGGAAAACAATAAAATGTGTGGGTCAAAGAGCTCAAGGGAAAATAGTTGAAGTCTGAAAAAATAATGTTTGAATTTAAAATTTCAGAGGTAATGTAGTTTTCTTAGTGATAACAGAGTCAAAACTATGGCCATTTTTGCGGATAGCTGAGGTGAAGTGAAAATAAAAGTCAGTGGAGAGGAGGATTTCATGTGTCCACAAGAATACTTTGTTGCCCAGGATCACCAAATACCATTAAATAAGAGCCCTTACATGATCCTAGGGTGTCAGAGCTAGAAATAACATACCATTGTTAAATTATGTAGTCCGTATAAGTGGACTTGATTTGTTTCTCAATATGTGGCCCAAGGAATATCCATATTAGAAACACCTGGGGTACTCTTCAGACATGCCCCTACATCAGAACAAATAAATACCAATATCCAAGGGTGGGATCCAGGAATTCTCATTTTATCAAATTATGCAGGTGATTCCCAAATACACTAACTTTTGGAACATCTGGTCTGGCTCAGCTCCTTCAAGATTCTGCCTTTAGAGGCCAAGATTTTATTTTGATGCTAATACTTTCCATTATACAAAGCTGCCTTTTGTGCCCAAAGCAATTAGTGGCAATTGATAAACTTACAATAATAAATCAAGGAATATTTAAGAATAAATAACCTAAAAGAAAATCCAAATTCTTTATATAGATCTGGTTCCTGCCAGACTCTTCTATCACTTTCTGCCTTACTTATGGTGCTCCAGTAAGTTTATTCTCACCTCACGGTCTTTGCATTAGTTGTTCCTTCTGCTTGGAGTGCTCAAACATTAACATGAGTAGACTCACGTTTTACTCAAGACTGCTGAAACATCTGCTCCTTCAAGAGGTATTCCCAATCTAAAGTAACTTTCACCCCAAACCAGAGACTAAATACTATAGTCACTCTCTGTAGTATTTATCAGCATTTAAAATAATCTTAATTTATTTACTGTCTTAGTCAAAATATACTTAAGCTCCCTGGGACCAGGGATTGTGTCTGTGTTGTTCATTGCCTCAAGCCCAGTATATATTTTTTCTGACTTTTTAAATATTTCTGCCACTAATTGGGACATCACATAGACATATTCTGAGAATTACACTTCTTTTTATTCTCATACACAATAGTTCCATGTCCTATAGATCATTCTTACGTAAAGTCAAAGCATTTAGTTGACAAAAACATGCCAGTCATAAGCTTCCATATTTGTGGATAAGGTCATAAAAGCATTGAATGCATTCCATTGATTTATTCTTGATTGTTCATATAGGAAAAGATGAGTGTAAGGAAATTATGAATTTTTTTCTATTTTTGGATTGAAAAAGTTAATATTGTTTTTATTTATTTACTTTTTTAAAAACTTTTATTTTAGGTTCTTGGGTACATGTGCAGGTTTGTTATATAGGTAAAATTGTGTTATAGGGGTTTGTTGTACAGATTATTTCATCACCCAGGTACTAAGCCTAGCACCAAATAGTTATTTTTTCTGACCCTCTCCCTCCTCCCACCCTCTACCCTCAAGTGGGCCCCAATGTCTGTTGTTCCCCTCTTTATGTTCACATGCTCTCATCATTTGGCTCCCGCTTATAAGTGAGAGCATGTGATATTTGGTTTTCTGTTCCTGCATTAGTTTAAAATAAAGGCCTCCAGCTCCATCTATGTTGCTTCAAAGGACATGATATCATTCTTTTTTTGGCTGTGTAGTATTTCATGGCATATATGTACCACATTTTCTTTACCCAGTCTATAGTGATTGGGCATTTACGTTGATTCCATGTCTGTTATTGGGAATAGTGCTGCAATAAACATATGTGTGTATGTGTCTTCATGATAGAACCATTTACATTCTTTTGTGTATTTACTCGGTAATGGGATTGCTCAGTTGAATGGTATTTCTGTTTCTAGCTCTTTGAGGAATTGCCACACTGCTTTCTATAATCGTTGAACTAATTTACACTCCCACCAACAGTGTATTAGTGTTCCCTTTTCTCTGCAACCTCACCAGCATCTGTTATTTTTTTGACTTTTTAATAATAGCCATTCTGACTGGTGTGAGATGGTATCTCATTGTGATTTTGATTTACATTTCTCTAATGATCACTGATATTTAACTTTTTTTCATATGCTTGTTGGCCGCATGTATATCTCCTTTTGAGAAGTGTCTGTTCATGTCCTTTGCCCACTTTTTAATGGGGTTGTTTGATTTTCTTGTAAATTTGTTTAAATTCCTTACAGAAGCTGGATATTATTTTCTCCCATTCTGTAGGCTATCTGTTTATTGATGGTTTCTTTTGCTGTGCAGAAGCTCTTTAGTTTAATTAGATCCCATTTGTCAGTTTTTGCTTTTGTTGCAATGATTTTGGTGTCTTTGTCATGAAATCTTTGCTAGTTCCTGTGTCCAGAATGGCATTGCCTAGGTTGTCTTTCAGGGTTTTTATAGTTTTGAGTTTTACATTTAAGTCTTTAATCTATCTTGAGTTAATTTTTTATTATAGTATAAGGAAGGGGTCCAGTTTCAGTCTTCTGCCTATGGCTCACCAGTTTTCCCAGCACCATTTATTGAATAGGGAGTCCATTATTGGGTATATACCCAAAGGAATATAAGTCATTCTACTATAAAGACACATGCATGGGTCTGCTCATTACAGCACTATTCTCACTAGCAAAGACATTGACTCAACCTAAATGCCCATCAACAGTAGACTGGATAAAGAAAATGTGATACATATATACCATGGAATACTATGCAGCCATCAAAAACATAAAAAAGAATAAGATCATATCCTTGGCAGCACCATGGGTGGAGCTGGAAGCCATTATCCTCAGTGAACTAGTGCAGGAACAGAAAACCAAATACTGCAGGTTCTGACTTATAAGTGGGAACTAAATGGTGAGTATGCATAGACATAAAGATGGAAACAATAGACACTGGGGCCTACTTGACGGTGGAAGGTGGAAGGAATGTGAGGATTGAAAAACTACCTATCAAGTGCTATGCTTATTACCTGGGTGAGGAAATAATCTGTATGTCAAACCCACTTGACATGCAATTTTCCTGTATAACAAACCGGCACATGTACCCAAACCCAAAATAAAAGTTAAAGTTGGAAAAGAAGCAACAACAACAACTACAACAACAAAACATGGGTGTTATTGAAATTCCTGAAATTTTTGGGAAATAAGATTGTTATAAATTTATTCTAAGCTTATTCACAATTTTAAGACTTTTCTTATTTGCCTGTTGATTATTGTGAAATAAACCTGACTGATATTAAAATCAATAAAAAGTGTGCATCAATCAGTTATGAACAAAGTTAGCTTGACAAATCTAGGTATACCATTTATTTAATATGCAGAAATGTTAAATTTGGATGAAATTATTGACAAATACACAGAGGTTAAGGCTCAAAAACAGAAACTGTAATATTATTATTCATTCCTGTGGCAGACCACTATGTAGATATAAGTATTTTTCCTTTGAAAAATACATTAATGCAATTAAAACACCTTGATCCATTTTTTTCCTTTTTTGGTTCTGTACTATTTATTTTGCATTTTATTTTTATATTGGCATATATATGTATGTATATGTTTATATTAAGTTCAATAAAAGAAAATAGTCACTCAATGTTTCTTTTGTAGCCAGTATTATTAGTTTCATTTCATCATTATTTCTTAAAATAATTTTGTCATTTACAGGACAGTTCTGTTAAAAAGGATCTGTTTTGGGTATGAAATGTGATAGGTATCAACTAATGCCTAGTATATAGTTTGCACATAATAAATATTTGTTGATTGAATGAATGAATACATGAATTAATATTGGGACTGTTAATGGGCATATTATGAGCATCTTCTTTCCTCAGAATCCTTCAGGGAGGCCTACAGCAGACCTTGCTCCTGTTGTGAATATTGCAATATACCCTTAGTATATTCTCCTGATAGCACCAAAATCATCCTTTAAAAATGTAAATTAGATCACATCACACCTTTGCTCAAAATCCTCCAATGATTTCCCATCTTATTCAGCATAAAATCCAAATTTATTTTGGCGGCACGAAAGCCCCTACACTGTGTTACTTCGCTACCTCTGAAATTATTGCTCCAGCCTCACTGGACTTTTTCATTGCTGTTCCTTCCGTATGCAACCCTCTTCTCTAAATTCCTCCAGGACTTTTATCAAATGAGCTTATCAGAGTCTTTCTCTCATTGATATAAACCAGTAAACTCCCACCTCATTCCCATACTGTTTTATTTTCCTTCATAGCATTTGTCTCTTTTTTAAAATTTATTATTTATTTTTATTTATTTATTTATTTTTTTGAGACGGAGTCTCGCTCTGTCGCCCAGGCTGAAGTGCAGTGGCGCGATCTCCGCTTACTGCAAGCTCCGCCTCCCGGGTTCACGCCAGTCTCCTGCCTCAGCCTCCCGAGTAGCTGGGACTGCAGGCGCCCGCTACTACGCCCGGCTAATTTTTTTTGTACTTTTAGTAGAGACGGAGTTTCACCGTGTTAGCCAGGATGGTCTCGATCTCCTGACCTCGTGATCCGCCCGTCTCGGCCTCCCAAAGTGCCAGGATTACAGGCGTGAGCCACCGCGCCGGCCTCATTTGTCTCTTTTACTCCTGTAATCATAAGCTCTGTGAGGAAGCCACTATGTTTTGTCTATGCCCCGAACAACTGCCCGGCACAGAGTATGCTCTCCGTGACTTAGTTTTAGAATGAATGAACTTACCCATGTTTCGCAGAGGTAATAAGTTGTTTTTCTTACTATATAATTAATTATTAAAGCAGCTACATTTGGGTATTAAGTCCTTATCTGGACATATCACATATGCCCGAAACAAAATAATTAAAAGTTCTGCACCCAGGAAAATAACTCCCAACTGGACTATTGATAATGTTCTGGAAGGCTTTATCTGGGACCGGGAGGGTCAACCACAGGGGTGAACAGTTTCTCCAGAAGACAGCTGACCGAAACCGCAGCAGTTGCCAAGGCGGCTGGAGGAGGGCGGAGAAAAGGCGGTAACTGGCAGGCAAGGGGCGTAACGGGGTGGGGCTGTCCTAAGGGAAGCCTAGTCGAACTGATTTGTCCCTCTCTGCTCTCCGTCTGAAAACCTTGGCCGAAAGGGTTGTAGACATGGCGGCCATCAGGGTAAGCGAAAACCAACTTGCTTAATTTCTGTGGGTGCCGATAGCATCCCGGTAACTGTAAAAGGGATCCTACTAACTTCTGAAGGAGCCCTGAAACAAGGGGCAGGGTGGAGGTGGGTTTTGAGATAATTGCAATCTTTATCGTTTGAAGCCTCAAGACACCTGCCTTTCCCCATTAGGGTTTTATCAGCCTGGGACGCTGCTCCCTCAATCCCCTGTGGTTGTCGATTTACACAGTGGCACAGTACAAAACTGGGAAACGGCTGGGTGAAAATGGCTGGCCAGGCGACGAGCCGCAGTAGACGTTTCGGTCTTCAGCTGCAATAAAGAGAAAAATATATATATAAACTTGGCATTTGTCTCGGCGCACAGGGCAAGGCCACATGACCCTATGGAAGGACTTTGTTGAAACATTTGGGGTGAAACTGACCAGGATAGAGAGGTCCCATAGTCTTTCAGCAGTGCGCTGGTTTACACATAGTGTTGTTGCTTTCTGTGCTCGAATAACCTGTTCCTTTCGAGTTTTACGCTTGGGAAAGGTGCCTTTACTTGGGAGTCCGTGTACAGTGAGTGACTCAGCTGGCAGCTTGCTGCAGTTCCCTAAGTAGTGTTTAATAATGGTAGTCTACAGATATTTACGTAGCGGGTTTTAATTGTAAAATATTCTGTTAGGCTTGCAGGAGATACAGTATGAATAATTCAGTTCCGCTGAAGTTTTAAGTCGGCAGCGTCTACAGTTCTGGTTCTCATACTTCATCTGAGTTATTTGAACAACCTCCTACCTGAACTTGCCACCTCAAGCCTGGCTCTCATGTAATCTGTTTTCCTCTGTGTTGCCAGAGTACATCTACCAAAATGCAAATTTGATTTTTGCCTCCCCCCGCATTTAAAAAATTTTATGGGCATGTCATCATCTCCCCTCTGGGGTCAGGCCATACTCTTATGTCTAGAACATCTGATTTTACCTAGACTTTCCAGCCTCATCTCTTGTCACTCAGGAACCCTCCTCCTGTCGATACTGAGCTGCTTGCTTGACCCCGCCATGCTTTTTTACGTGCTCTTTCTCTGGGCCTAAAGTGCCTTTTCCCATGCTTATCTAGTTGTATTTATAGTTCATTCATTCATTCAGCAGCTATTTGTGTACAGCCTCCCCATATGCAAAACACAAAAATGCCTTGTTTAATAGTGTCCTTGATCTCCCCAGTCTATTTTATTTTATTTTATTTTTTATTTTTGAGACGGAGTCTCTCTCTGTCTCCCAGGCTTGAGTGCAGTGGCGCGATCTCAGCTCACTGCAACCTCCACCTCCCGGGTTCAGGCGATTCTCCTGCCTCAGTCTCCTGAGTAGCTGGGACTACAGGCGCATGCCAACCATGCCCGGCTAAATTTTTTTATTTTTATTTTTTAGTAGAGACGGGGTTTCACCATGTTGGTCACGCTGGTCTCGAACTCCTGACCTCGTGATTCACCCCCCCCCCCCCCCGGGCCTCCCAAAGTACTGGGATTACAGGCGTGAGCCACCACGCCCGGTCCTCGCCAGTCTATTTTAATAACTCTTGTTTGTGCTCCCAGAGGACTCTGGGCACACTCTTAACCAAGCATTTATTCCACTGCACATATAGACTACTTACTTGTCTGTTCTAGCTACCTAAACTATAAGCTCCTTGAAGACAGTAATTATATTAACCTTTGTATCCGTAGTACCTAGCACAGGTCTGATGTATATTAGGTAGTCAACATGTTCTACATGAATAAAGTGCCAGGCAATGAGGACAGAAGAGATTAAGTGGTGGAGATATAACACATATAACACAAATGACTGTGATTCAGAGTAAGGGGAGTTTCTTACCTGAAGAGAAGTACAAAGTGCTCTGACGCTCAAAAGGAGAGAGCTCACACTTGGTTTGAAGAGAGTAAAAAGAGGCTTCATGGAGAAGGTGCAGAGACAGAAGGAATGGTCAGTGGCAAAAAGCAAACCAGAATAGTGTGTTTTCATTGAGAAGAAGAGAGTTGAACAGTCCTTTGATTTCACCATTAATAAGTTGCTGCTGTTATCATTTATTAAGTGCTTACTCCAGGCCAGGCACTATGCTAAAACACGTTACATGTGTTAATTCACTAATTCTCAAGACAACTTTATGTGGTGGGTATTATTACCATTTTACACATGAAAATTAAGGTTTAGAGAAGTCAGATTATTCAAAACCATGCTAATAAGAGCTGAAGTGAGCTAAAGAGATAAATAGAGTGGTAGAGGAACAACCAAGATTGTATGGGGTTAAGAAAAGAATAAGGGATGGAGAACTGGCATTCATTTAGCACCCACTTTGGCCAGATGATTTACATATATTATTTTAGTTTAATCCTCTTGATGACCCTAAGAAATGGGTAATATATCCATTTTACAGATGGAAAAACGGAGGCTTAGAAAAACTGCTTGCTCCAGGTCATACAACCACTAAGTGGAAGAACTAGGTTCAAACAGTATATTTATCTCCAAAGTCTTTCCACTCCTCCTTGCTTCCTCTGGAAAGGAGTTATACATTACTCTTTAGAGAAGTTTGGTGGTGAAAAGAAGGAACAAAATCTTGGAATGAGGGTAGCAAATTCCAGAAAAGGTGTCTTTTAATTAAAAAAAAAAAAAACTAAAAACAAAACAGGAGACAGAAGACTTGAGCTACTTTGGAGACAAGGGAAAATGTACCAGGAGGTATCTAGAGGGAAAGATAATAGTATTTACAGCTATTGTGTTATTGAATATTGACTACGTGCTAGGAATTTTGCTAAGCACTTTATGTGGATTCTCTCATTTATGTTTCACATTGGCCCTATGAGTAGGAATTTATATTAATCACTTTTTACAGGTAGGGAAACAGAAGCTTAAAAAGGTCAAGTAACTCCAAGGTCACACAGGAGTAAAGTGGTAGAGCTGGATCTGAAATCACATGGTATGAGTCCTGAACCTGGACTCTTAACCATACTTTGTAAGAAAGTGGTAAAATCAAGAGAACAAGTGGAGGGATTAACCTTGCAAAGAGGAGACACACTTTGCTTCAAAGGCCAGAGTTGGTCGAGATAGAAGGTGAAGATACCAAGTGATTTTGAAGAACGGAGGAGGTAGAGGAGGGAGCTCACATTGGAGGTCTGTATCTTCTGGGTGGAAGGTCATCTGCTGAGAGGAAAATATGCCTTTAGGAGTTTAAGAATGGGATAGGCTTGGAAAAGGTGCTTTAGGAAATTCAGTAAAGTATCAGTAGACATTGAATAAAATATTAATAATTGCTGAGAAGTGAGGGCCTGGCTAATGTTGGCTCTAGTAGTGACTTTCTCCAGCAGTGCTCACAGCATAGGAGGGGAAGAGGAGACAGTGGGGTTGCTCCAATGCTGAGTGTTGTCAAAGTGAGAATGATAGAAGATCTAGGGAATTTATCCAAATAGTCATCCACTGTGGATAAGGAGACAAAGAAGAAGATTGAAGTGATGGACTAGGGTACTAGAAGATTTATGGCCATAGTGAGAAAGAAGAACTAGTTCAAAAAGAGTAGGAGAGTTGAAAGAGCATTCTATTTTAATGAGGGAAATTTCAAGCATTTAGGATCTTGAAGGTGAAACGATTTCTAATAATTGCAAAGTAGGGTAACTGTGTTAGAAATGGCTAAGATTTGTGGAGATCATGGTGCTTGAGAAGCAAGGACTGTGCTGATCTCTCGGGTCTTCTGGAATCGGGGAATTCCTGGGGGTCTGGCCTTCAATTAAGTGGATTGGGAGGAATGTATAATAGTAGTGTCAAATAAAAGCCAAGTTTCATTTAATGCCAGAGGTTGAGAGTGAGTTTGAAGACAATTTGGGTATTGGCAGATAATTTGTTTTTAATGCATACTTAAAATCAAAATTTGTCTATGATTTATTGAGGACTTACTGTGTATCAGGTACTGCGCTAAGCTGTTGATACTCATTATTTCATTTAATTCTCACTAAAAGTCTTCTAAGGTAGGTAACTTTACCTGTAAGAACTGAAATAGATCAGTAAGGAAATCGAAACTGTAATGATAGGAGGTTGCACTCAGAGAAAAACTTGCTGAATTTATGATTTTAGCTATTAAGACGTTCTAGGGAATGGTAAATTCAAGATGTCCCCAGGGAATAGGTAGCTATAAGACCCTCTGGGTTTATGTATTTTTTTTTCTTTTTTTCCCCAGCTTTATTGAGGTATAACTGATAAATAAAATGGTTTGATTTTAAGGTGTGCAGTGTGATGATTTGATATACATATATTTTGTGGAATGATTACCAGAATCAAATTAGTTTATATGTATCACTTCACCATGCTGTGTATTATATCCCTTGAACTTACCTGTCATTGAAAGTTTGTGCCCTTTGGCCAACCTCCCAACCTCTCGCCTTTCCTTTACCTTTGCCTGTGGGAACCAGCATTCTATTCTCTAGTTCAGTGAGTTCAACTTCTCAAAATTCCACGTACAAATAAAATCAGGCAGTTTGTCTTTCTCTGTCTGACTTACTTCACTCAGCATAATACCCTTGAGGGTTATCCATGTTGTTGTAAATGACAGGATTTCTTTCTTTTTTTTATGGTTGAATGATAACCCGTTGTGTGTGTGTGTGTGTGTGTGTGTGTGTGTGTGTGTGTATACCACAGTTTCTTCATCCGTTGATCTGTTGGCAGACACTTCGATTAGACACTTAGGTTGTTTTCATGTTTTGGCTGTTGTGAATAATACTGCAGTGAATATGGGAGTGCAGATATCTTTGCAATTGCTGATTTCATTTGCTTTGGTTGTACACCTACTTTGGCTATTCAGAGTCTTTTGTGATTCCATACAAATTTTGCAATTGTTTATTTTTTCTATGTCTGTGAAAAATGCCACTAGAATTGAATCTGTGGATTGCTTTGGGTAGTATGGATATTTTAACAACATTAATTCTTCCAATTCATGAACATAGGATATCTTGCCATTCATTTGTATCTTCAATTTTTTCCATTATGGTTTGATAGTTTTCAATATACAGCTCTTTGACCTCTTGGGTTAAGTTTATTCTTAAGTGTTTTATTCTTTCTGATGCTATTTTAAATGGGATTGCTTTCTTTCTTTCTTTTTTGGGTAGATCATCTTCGATAGTGTATAGAAATGTAACTGCTTTTTTGTATGTTGACTTTGTATGCTGCAGTTCCCTGAGTTTATTTATTAGTTCTAACAGTTTTTTGGTGGCGTATTTAAGATCTTCTATGTATAATATCATGTAATCTGGGAGAAGAGACAATTTTACTTCTTCTTTTCCAATTTGTATGTCTTTCATTTCTTTCTCTTGCCTGATTGCTTTGACTAGAACTTCCAGTGCTATGTTAAATAAAAGTGGCAAGAGACTTGTTCCTGATCTTAGAGGAAAAGCTTTTAGCTTTTCACCATTGGGTATGATATTAGTTGTGGCCTTATCATATATGGCTTTTATTATGTTGAGGTACATATCTTGGATAATTAATTTGTTGAGAGTTTTTATCACAAAAGGATGTTGAATTTTGCCAAATGCTTTTTCCACATTCATTGAAATGATCATGTTGTTTTTGTCTTTCATTCTATTAATGTGGTGTATCATGTTTATTGATTTGGATATGTTGAACCATCCTTGCATCTCTGGGATAAAACTTACTGATCATGGTGAATGAGCCTTTTACTTTTATTTATTTATTTACTTTTTTTTTCAACTTCTATTTTAGGTTCAGGTGTACATGTGAAGATTTGTTACACAGGTAAACTCGTATCATGGGCATTTGTTGTGCAGATTATTTCATCACCCAGCTGTTAAGCTCATTACCCAGTAGTTGTCTTTTCTGCTCCTCTCCTTGCTCCCACCCATTACCCTCAGGTGTCTGTGGTTTCCTTCTTTGTGTTTGTAAGTTCTCATCATTTAAGTTCTCATCATTTAGCTCCCACTTATAAGTAAGAACATGTGGTATTTGGTTTTCTGTTCCTGCGTTTACTTGCTAAGGATAATAGCCTACAGCTCCATCCATGTTCATGCAAAAGACATGATCTCATTTCTTTTTATGGCTGCATAGTATTCCATGGTGTATATGTACCAATTTTTTTAATCCAATCTGTTATTGGTGAACATTTGGGTTGATTCCATATCTTTGCTATTGTGAATAGTGCTGTCAAGCTACCCTTCTAAGTGGCTGTATCATTTTGCATTCCTACTAGCAATGAATGAGACTTCCTGTTTCTCCATGTTCTCCCCAGCATTTACCGTCGTCAATGTTTCAGATTTTCACCCTGCTAGTAGGTATACAGTGGTATATCATTGTTGTTTTAATTTGTAATTCTCCAATGATATGCTGTTAAGCATCTTTTCATACGCTTATTTGTCATCTGTGTATCTTTGATGAAGTATCTGTTCAGATATTTTGCCCATTTAAAAAAAATTTTAATAGATTTTCAGGAACAGGTGGTTTTAGGTTAAATGGGTGAGTTCTTTAGTGGTGATTTCTGAGATTTTGGTGCACCTGTCACCTGAGCAGTTTACACTGTCTCCAGTGTGCAGTATTTTGTCCCTTACCCCCTCCCAGTATTCCCAAGTCCCCAAAGTGCATTATCTTAATTTTATGCCTTTGCATCCTGATAGCTTAGCCCCCACTTATTAGTGAAAACATGATAGTTGGTTTTCAATACCTGAGTTACTTCACTTGGAATAATGTTCTCCAACTTCATCTGGGTTGCTGCAAATGCCATTATTTTCTTCCTTTTTATGTCTGAGTACTATTCCATGTTGTATACATACCACATTTTCTTGATCCACTCATTGGTTGATGGGCATTTGGGTTGGTTACATATTTTCACAATTGTAAATTGTGCTGCTGTAAACATGCATGTGCAAGTGACTTTTTTATATAATGACTTTTTTTCTTTGGGTAAATACCCAGTAGTGGGGTTGCTGGATCAAATAGTAGTTCTACTTTTAGTTCTTTAATGAATCTCCATACTGTTTTCCATAGTGGTTGTACTAGCTTACATTCTCACCAGCAGTGTAAAAGTGTTCCCTTTTCACCACATCCACACCAACATCTATTATTTTTTTATTTTTAATTATGGCCATTCTTGCAGGAGTGAGATGGTATCGTATTGTGGTTTTAATTTCCATTTCCCAGATAATTAGTGATGTTAAGCATTTTTTCATATGTTTGTTGGACATTTGCATATTTTGAGAATTGTCTATTCATGACCTTCACCTACTTTTTGATGCAAATTATTTGTTCTTTTCTTGATTTGTTTGAGTTCCTTGTAGATACTGGATATTAGTCCTTTGTCAGATGCATAGTTTATGAGTATTTTCTCCCACTCTGTTGGTTGTCTGTTTTCTCTGCTATTTTGTTTGCTGTGTAGAAACTTTTTAGTTTAATTAAGTCCCATCTATTTATTTTTGTTTTTGTTGAATTTGCTTTTGGGTTCTTGGTCATGAACTACTCTTTGCCTAAGCCAATGTCTAGAAGAGTTTTTCTGATGTTATCTTCTGGAATTTTTATGGTTTCAGGTCTTAGATTTAAGTCTTTGATCCATGTTGAGTTGATTTTTGTATAAGGTGAGAGATAAGGATCCAGTTTAATTCTTCTACATGTGGCTTGCCAGTTATTCCAACATGATTTGTTGAACAGGGTGTGTGTGCTTTTCCCACTCTGTTTTTATTTGCTTTGCCTAAGATCAATTGGCTGTAAGTATTTGGCTTTATTTCTTGGTTCTCTACTGTGTTCCATTGGTCTACGTGCCTACTTTTATACCAGTACCATGTTTTGGTAACTGTAGCCTAGTTTGTAGTATAGTTTGAAGTTGGGTAATACGATGCCTTCAGATTTGTTCTTTTTGCTTAGTATTACTTCAGCTATGTGGGCTCTTTTTTGGTTCCATATGAATTTAAGGATTGTTTTCTTCTAGTTCTGTGGAGAATGATGATGATATTTTGATGTGAATTGTATTGAATCCGTAGATCACTTTTGGCAGTATGGTCATTTTCACAATATTGATTGTACCCATCCATGAGCATGGGATATGATTCCATTTGTTTGTGTCATCTATAATTTCTTTCAGTAGTGTTTTATAGTTTTCTTGTAGAGATCTTCCACCTCCTGAAGTTTTTTTGTTTGTTTATTTTTTTGTTTCTGTTTTGCAGCTGTCGTAAAAGGGATTGAATTATTGATTTGATTCTCAGCTTGATCGTTGTTGGTGTATAGCAGTCCTACTGATTTGTGTACATTGATTTTGTAACCTGAGACTTTACTGAATCATTTGTTAGATCTAGGAGCTTTTTGGATGAGTTCTTAGACTTTTCTAGGTATACTATCATATCATTGGTGAACAGCAGTGGTTTGACTTCCTCTTTTCTGATTTGGGTGCCCTTTATTTCTTTCTCTTGTCTGATTTCTTTGGCTAGGACTTCCAGTATCATGTTGAATAGAAGTGGTGACAGTGGTTATCCTTGTGTTGTTTCAGGTCTCATTGGAATGCTTTCAGTTTTTCCCCATTTAGTATGGTATTGGCTGTGGGTTTGTCATAAATGGCTTTTATTACCTTGAGATCTGTCCCTTCTATGCCAGTTTTGCAGAAGGTTTTTATCATGAAGGGAGCCAGGAGTTTTTCAAATGCTTTTTCTGCTTCTGTTGAGGTGATCTTATGATCTTATGATTTTTAGTTTTAATTCCGTTTATGTGATGTATCACGTTTATTGACCTGTGTATGTTAAACCATCCCTGCCTCCCTGGTATGAAACCCACTTGCTCATCTTTTTGATATGCTGTTTGGATTCAGTTAGCTAGTATTTTGTTGAGGATTTTTGCATCTGTGTTCATCAGGGATATTGGTCTGTAGTTTTCTTTTTTTTGTATGTCCTTTCCTGGTTTTGGTATTTGGGTAATACTGGCTTCATAGAATGATCTAGGGAGGACTCCCTCTTTCTTTATTTTTTGTAATAGTTTCAGTAGGATTGGTACCAATTCTTCTTTGAGTGTCTGATACAGCTTAGCTGTGAATCCATCTGGTCCTGGAATCTGTTTTTGTTGGCAATTTTTAAATTACTGTTTCGATTTCGCTATTGGTCTGTTCAGTTTCTGTTTCTTCCTTATTTAATCTAGGAGGATTGTGTATTTCTGGGAATGTATCCATCTATGCTAGGTTTTCTAGTTTGTGTGCACAAAGGTGTTCTTAGTAGCCTTCAATGATCTTTTGCATTTCTATGGTATCAGTTGTAATATCTCCCTTTTCATTTCTACGTGAGCTGATTTGGATATTCTCTCTTCTTTAATCTCTCTAATGGTCAATCAGTTTTCTTAATCGTTTCAAATAAACAGATCCTTGTTTTATTTATCTCTTGTATTTTTTTGTTTCAATTTTATTTGGTCCTGCTCTGATTTTGTTATTTCTTTTCTTCTAGCTTTAGGTTTAGTTTGACCTTGTTTCTCCAGTTCCTAGAGGTGTGATATTTGATTGTCAATATTTGGGCTCTTTCACACTTCTTGATGTAGGCATTTAATACCATGAACTTTCCTCTTAGCACTACTTTTGCTGTATCCCAGAGGTTTTGATAAGTTGTGTTACTGTTATTCAGGTCAAAGACTTTTTAAATTTCCATCTTAATTTCATTGTTGGCCCAAAGATCATTCATTAGTAGATTATTTAATTTACATGTATTTGTATAGTTTTGAGGGTTCCCTTTGGAGTTATTTCAGTTTTATTCTACAGTGGTCTGAAAAGATGCTTAATATGATTTTGATTTTCTTAAATTTATTCAGAAGTGTTTTGTGTCCTATCATGTGGTCTGTCTTGGAGAATGTTCCATGTCCTGATGAAAAGAATGTATATTCTGCAGTTTTGGGGTAATAAGTTCTATAAATATCTAAGTCCATTTGTTCTAGGATGTAGTTTAAATCCATTGTTTCTTTGTTGACTTTCTGTCTTGATGACCTGTCTAGTGCTGTCAGTGTAGTATTGAAGTCCCCTACCCTACTATTATTGTGTTGCTGTCTATCTCATTTCTTAGGTCTAGTAGGAATTGTTTTATGAATTTTGGAGCTCCCGTGTTAGGTACATATGTGTTTAAGACTGTGATATTTTCCTGTTGGGGTAGTCCTCTTATCACTATATAATATCCCTCTTTGTCTTTTTAAACTGTTGTTATTTTAAAGTGTGTTTTGTCTGATATAAGAGTAGCTACTCCTGCTCACTTTTGGTGTCCATCTGCATGGACTATCTTTTTCTACCCCTTTACCTTAAGTATATGTGAGTCCTTATGTGTTAAGTGAGTCTCAGCAATTACTTGGTTGGTGGATTTTTATTCATTCTGCCATTCTTTATGTTTTAAGTGGAGCATTTAGGCCATTTACTATCAGCGTTAGTATTGAGATGTGAGGTACTGTTCTATTTATCATGCTAGTTGTTGCCTGAATACCTTTTTTTTAAATTGCATTATTGTTTTATAGGCCTTGTGAGATTTATGCTTTTAGTTGGTTGTATTTTGGTGTATTTTGAGGTTTTCTTTCAAGATTTAGAACTGCTTTTAGCAGTTCTTGTAGTGCTGGCTTGGTAGTGGCAAATTCTCAGCATTTTTTTTTTTTTGTCTGAAAACGACTTTATCTCTCCTTTATTTATGAAGTTTAGGTTTGCTGGAAACAAAATTACTGGCTGACAATTATTTTATTTAAGGAGGTTAAAGATAGGACCCCAATTCCTTCTGGCTGTAAAGTTTCTGCTAGGAAATTTGCTGTTAGTCTGATAGGTTTTTCTTTATAGTTTACCTGATGCTTTTGTCTCACAGCTCTTAAGATTCTTTCCTTCACCTTGAGTTTAGATAACCCGATGACTGTGTGTCTCGGTGATGATCTTTTTTGTGATGAATTTCCCAGAAGTTCTTTGAGCTTCTTTTAGTTGGATGTTTAGATCTCTAGCAAGACCAGGGAATTTTTTCTCAATTATTCCTTCAAACGAGTTTTCCAAACTTTGAGATTTCTCTTCTTCCTCAGGAACACCAATTATTATTAGATTTGACCATTTAACATAATCCTCAGTTTATTGGAAGCTTTGTTCATTTTTTTAGATTGCTTTTTCCTTGTCTTTTTCTGATTGGGTTAATTCGAAAGCCTTGTCTTCGAGCTCTGAAATTCTTTCTTCTACTGGTTCTAGTCTATTTTTGAAAATTTCCACTGCATTTTATATTTCACTAAGCATGTCTTTCATTTCCAGAAGTTGTGATTGGTTTTTCTTTATGATACCTATTTCTATGGAAAAGGTTTCATTCATATCCTGTATTTTTTAAAAAAATTATCTAAGGTCTTTTTCACCTTTCTGTGGTATCTCCTTGAGTAGTTTAATAATCAGCCTTCTAAATTCTTTATCTGGCAATTCAGAGATTTCTTCTTGGTTTGGATCCACTGCTTGGGGAGCTCGTGTGATTATTTGGGGGTGTTATAGAACCCTGTATTGTCATTACCAGAATTACTTTTCTGGTTTCTTCTCATTTGTGTAGACTATTTCTTAAAATTGTTCTTGAATCTTTTTTTGATTGGACTTCTTTTTTATTTTAAATTTCTTTTTTTCCTTCTTAAGGATCGGACTTTAATATTTATTTATTTATTTATTTATTTATTTATTTATTTATTTATGAGATGGGATTTCACTCTTGTGGCCCAGGCTGGAGTGCAATGGCGTGATCTCTGTTCACTGCAACCTCCGCCTCCCGGGTGTAAGTGATTCTCCTGCCTCAGCCTCCCGAGTACCTGGGATTATAGGTGTGTGCCACCACGCACGGCTAATTTTGTATTTTTATTAGAGATGGGGTTTCACCATGTTGGCCAGGCTGGTCTCAAACTCCTGACCTCAGGTGATCCACCCGCCTCGGCCTCCCAAAGTGCTGGGATTACCGGCATGAGCCACCATGCCCGGCCCAGACTTTAATATTTATTTTAGCCTAATTTGGTTCTTTGTGCTTGTAGGGGTGAAGACTCTGTATGAGATCCTTAGTTATAAAGAGAGCCTTTGTGTGCTGGCTTTCCCTGATGCTGGTTGTGGTAGTTATATTTGTGGTGTGTGGGTGAGTTCACTGTCTCCTATGGAGTTGGAATGGCAGGGATCTTTTGAAGGTTATCTCATTCTCTCATGGCATACAATTTATTTATTTACTTTATTTTTTCCATTGTTTTATTTACTAAATTGATGATTCAGTCTTCAGTCTAATAAGGAAAGTATCCCTGGATAGTCACCAGTTGTGGCTAAGATAGGGTTGGTACAAAAGGAATTGAGGTTTTTGCCATTGATGGCAAAAACCTCAATTCCTTTTGTACCAACCTAATAATGCCCAACTGTGGGCCAAGGTCCCAACCTTGATGAGGGTTGCTGGGGGAGCTCTCAGTGAGATCTGCTGAGGTTTTATCAGAGTGAAGAGTGGGAGCTACCTCAGCTCCCCTGCCAGGTCAGCAGGAAAGTTATTCACGTCATAGCCTCACTCCTGTCTTTGTGTTTCAGCTACTTGGATCATACAGGCACATCTTTTCATGTATAGGAATGTTGATCTTCCAGGTAGCGGGGAATTGTGACTCTGCCTCTCATGCTGGCCTGAACCTGGAGTGTACTCCTCTTACGGGGATACACTCACCCTGGATTGTTCCAGCAAGCCTGTCTATACATTCCTCTAGGCTGCGTTCCTGTTGGGGAAGCCCCTGCTGTGTCTTCAGTGGAGTGCCGGGGGGTACAAGGTCCCCTTCTCCAAGACGTTTTATGATCACAGAGGCTGCCTGCCTGTTGGGGTATAGGTGTAGACTTTCTCTACTGTGCCCAGCATTGCAATTGTGTCTCTGCTGTGAGAAACTACCCACCAGCAGAAAGATCCAGAACTCAAGTCCTGCTGTTCAGATTCTTTTATCCCATGGGGCAATCACCTGACGTGGTGCTCTCCCTCTTCTTAGGAGCAGGGTTATTCTGTCATGAGTTGCTGTAATGGCCTGAGATAATTGGCCTCCAGTCAGGAGGTAACACATTCAAGATAACACCAGCTGTGGTAGCAGTAGTGGGATATAAGCTTGCCCTAAGTTTGCCAGAGGAAGTATTCTGTTTTCTCAGGTAATGGGCAGGGCCATAAAGCTCCCAAGAGTTCACGTCTTTTGTACTTGGTTACCAGGGCAGGTTGGAAAATACCACCACGTGGGGGCAGGGTTATTAAGTGGATCTGAGCTTAGACTCTTCTTGCACGGGGCTTGCATAGGCCTGTGTGGGGGTTGAGGGAGGTGGTTCTCAGGCCAATGGGGTTATGTTCCAGAGGGGATTATGGCTGCCTCTGCTGTGCAGTATAGTTCTCCAGGGATTTGGAGTATAGCCAGTAGTGAAAGGACTCACCCAGCTCCCATGCATTTGGCGAGGCCGATCTTGATTCTGCAGTGCCCTGCTAACAGTTTAGATCCAGGCAGCCTGTGCACAGAGCTCAGACCTGCCCTGGGCCATAAGTTGCCTTGCTAAGAACACAAGCGCGGCTTTCAGGCCCTCTTCCCTCTCTGTGTGCTCACAGTGTCAGTGATTCCTATGCTCGTATTTGCAGCAGTTCCCGTTCACACCCCCTATATTCTGCTCAAGAATGTTTGTGCCCAGTCAAAATTATTACAAAATTCAGTTGGAAGTTTCTTTCACCCTTTGACCGCTCCCTAATTCTGCTGGCTGTCTTCTCTGAGGGCCCCTGTGAGATATAGTTAGGGATGGCTTCCCTGGGCTTGAGCTGGAGACTCTGAGTGCCTACGAGGTCCTTCCCCACTGCTGCTTTTAACTTTATATTTCATGCGGCTCCTGAAATCTATTCCAGCTCTAGGCAAGGTTAAATCCTTCTCCCATGATCTGGATTTTTAGATTCCCCAGTGGAATGTGTGTTTGGAGGCAGGTTTTCACCCTCTCTCACTTTGGGAACTCACCCATCTCATGGAATTTGCAGCAGCGCTCCACTACCATCAAAGGATCTGTGAATTCTTTTGGTTTTCCTGGTATGTTCCTGCAGTGGTTCTTGGAACAAAAGTTCATGGTATGAGTCTCCACACACTGTTCTGTCTGTCCAAGTGGGAGATGCTTGTTAGCCCTGCTTCCTATTTGCTATTTTCCTCCCATCCATGAATGAGTCTTTTAATGTGCTGTTGAATTTAGATTGCTAGTATTTTGTTGAGGACTTTAGCATCTATGTTGCATTAGACCATTTTTGCATTGCTATAAAGGAATACCTGAAGCTAGCTAATTTGTGAAAAGAGGTTTTATTTTTGGCTTACAGTACTGCAGGCTGTACAGGAAGCATGGTGCTGACATGTTTATGGTGAGAGCCTCAGGAAGCTAACTATCATGCCAGAAGACAATGAGGAGCCAGTATGTCATATGGTGAGAGTGGCAGCAAGAAAGTAAGTGGGGAGGTGCTACAAAATTTTAAACAACCAGATCTTGCAAAAACTCACTCACTATTATGAGGACAGCACCAAGTTATTTATGAGGGACTGCTCCCATGATCCAGTAACCTCCCACCGGGCCCCACCTTCAAATTTGAGATGACATTTCAACATGAGATTTGGAGGGGACAAACATCCAAATGTGATCGGTGATTCAGTTGATGGGTTTTCTTCACTATTTTTCATTCTTTTTTTTTTTATCTTCTCAATGGATAATTTCATAAGATCTGCCTTCAAGTTTGCAGATTCTTTCTTCTGTTTGATCATGTCTGCTGTTTGAAGCTCTCTTTTACATTTTTATTTCATTCATTATATTCTTCAGTTCTAAAATTTTTGTTTGCTTCTTTTTGATAATTTCTGTTTCTTTGTTGAACTTGTTTTGTTTATTACTCTCCTGAGTTCATTGAGCTGTATGTGTTCTCTTGTATCTCACTGATCTTCCTTAAAATAATTATTTTTAATTCTTTTTCAGATAACATAGATCTCTGTTTCTTTGAGATCACTTACTGCATAGTTACTGTGTTTCTTTAGTGGTATCATATTTCCTTGATGTTTTCATTTTTCTGGCAGCCTTACGTTTATATGTGTGCAGTCTGTGGTGGCTATAGTGGCTAGGGCTCTTGTGGTCTTTGGTCGTGGTGGCTGCTGGGTTCCTCCTGCACTCCTTTTCTCTCATGGGGGGATATTCTAGCCAAGGTTATTCCTCTTGGCACTGGTTGTGGCATGCTGGCATTCACACAACCGCAGCTGTGGTGATGCTGGGATTGGGGCAGATGCATGATCAGTGGCTGCTATGGTTTGAATGTGGGTGTTCCCTTCAATTTTATATGTTGGAAACTAATACCGTATGTGACAGTTTTAATAAGTGAGGCCTATCTGAAAGATATTGAGTCATGAGGGCTCTGCCCTCACAAATGGGATTAGTGCCCCCATAATAGAGATTGAAGGGAATGTACTTACTTCTTCTGCCATGTAAGGATGCTGGAAGAAGTTACCATCTTTGAAACACAGAGCCAGCCCTCATTAGAGACTGTTAATCTTCTGTTGCCTTGATATGTGACTTTCCAGCCTCCAGAACTGTAAGCAATACATTTCTATAATTTATAAATAATCCAGCTTAAGTCATTTTGTTATAGCAGCCCAAAGAGGCTAAGACAGTGATGGTGGTACCAGTGCTTAAGGCACAGGTATTTGGAGTAGCAGCTGACGTGAGGATCTGTGGTTAGGTGTGCACGGAACTGCTGTGGCATTTGGGGACTGGGGCACAGACGTACTTGCTGGGGTAGTAGTGCCAGTGATTAAGACATGGTCTTGTGCAGATCATCTACAGAGTTCAGGGTGGGTCTCTAGGACATTCCACAATGACTTGACCTCATGGGGAAGGGATATAACAGTAACACAGATCCAGCAGTGACAGGACCAAGAAGAGGACTGGGCTGTGGGTCTGTGGTGCAACTAGTGTGGCCCAAGGGGTAGCTGGTTGTAGCCAAAATTCAGGCCCCAGGGAGTGGGGCAAACAGCAGTGATAGCTGTGACTTAAGCCCCAGAGTGTAGAGTCTAGAGCAGTGGCAGCATAACCCCAGTGATGGTTATCAAAGCCCTGGCTCAAGACCCATGGGCTAGGGCACAGAATAGTGGGAATGCATCCTCAGTAAGGACATGTGAAAGCCCTGATTCAAGACCTATGGGTGGGGTGCTGAACAGAGGCATTGTCAGCAGGATCGGTGATGATGATATGACTGGTCAAAACCCTGACTCAGAGAAAAGCATCAGCAAGATGGCAGAGTAGGATGCTCCAGCAGTCATTCCCTTGCAGAAACATCAATTCGAAGATCCCTCCATATACGAAATGACCTTTATAGGAGCTAAGGAAACCAAGTGAGAAATTACAGCTCCTGAGTGTAGCACAGAATTATGAAAAGATGCATTGATGAGGGCAGGAGGGACGGTCAGTTTTACATTGCCTATGTCACCCCTCCCCCAACACCAGGCAGTGTAGTGTGGAGAGAAAGAGGGCAATGGACACTGGACTTTGCCTTGGACACCAGCAACAGGCTTGTCTCAGTAAAACACAATGCAGGGTAGGCCCCCACAGCTCCAGACTCCAGGTCAGTATCTATGGACTAAGCCTCTAAGCCCACCTGTTCTAGCACCAGGCTGCATCCCACAGACCCGGGCTCCAGACTTATGCAGCAGACTTGGTCTCCAGGCTGCTTTACTGTCAGGACAACCTCAGGACCCTCAGGTTCTGGACTGTCCTCAATGTTGAGCTGACCTCAGTGGTCTTAAGCTCTCGGCTACCCCCAGCACCAGGCTGGCTCTTGCAGCCTTAGTCATCAGGCTACCATGTGTGGATACAGGTTCCAGGTCTGCTCAGTACCAGGCTAGCCCCTTTACCCCAGGTTCAAGTTAATACCTGCAGATACAGCCTGAAAGCCCACCCTGGTATCAGGCAGGACCCTCTAGCCCCAAGCTCCAGGCCTCCCTAGTGCTAGGCCAACATCAGTAGCTCCAGGCTCTAGACTATCCCCAGCCCCAGACAGGTCCTTGCAGTTTTAGGCTCCAGAGCCACCCCAGGGCAAGGCCACCCCTAGTGACACTAGGATCAGGATTGTCCCCAGCAATGGGCCAGTTCTCATGGCCATAGGCTTGGGGTCCACTCCTTAGCACCCTTAGCCTTTGACACTAGGCAGGAACTCAGAGACACAGGCTCTAGGCCTGCCCAGTGTTAGGCCAGTCCCTGTGGCCCCATGCCCCAGCAGACCCAGGGTCCAGGCCTGTCCCAGTAGACACCGCTAGTGGATTGACCTCAATGGACCCAGGCTCCAGGAACACCCATGTATACCCAGGACCCAGGCTGGCCCCAGAACCCAGGCCAGTCCTTTCAGACTTAGCCTCTAGACAAGCACCTATATAGTCAGCCTCCAGCCAACACCAGCAGACACAGGCTCCAGGCCTGTCTCCACAGCGCTAGGATCCTGGCCATTTCCAGTGGCTTCAGGTAACAGGCCAGTGCCATAATCCTAGGCTTCAGACCAGCCCCTACAGCACCAAGCTCCATGCTGGCCCCAGGCTCTAGAGAACCCGGAGTTCAGGCCCACTCCAGCAGACCCAGGGTCCATTCTCACCCCAATACTGGGACAGAGCCTATGGACTGAGATGCTAAGACAACCCAGACCCAGGTTCCAGGCCCATCCCAGTGGTCCCAGGTGCCAAGCCTCTCTCAGCACCAGGCCAGTTCCTGTGGATTTAGGCTCCAGGTTCCAAATATAAAACCTAATGTTACACCTCAAGAAGCTAGGAAAAACAAACAAACAAACAAAAACTAAGCCCAAAGTTAGCAGAAAGAAGGAAATAATAAAGATCAGAGCACAAATAAATGAAATAGAAACCAGAAAAACAATATAAAAGATCAGTGAAAGTAAGAGTTGATTTTTGCGAAAAGATAACATAGATAAACCTTTAGCTAGACTCAGTTCTAAAAAAGAGAGAAGACAAATCAGAAATGAGGGAAGAGACATTACGAATGATACCACAGAAATACTAAAATTCGTGAGACTACTGTGAACAATTATATGCCAACAAACTGGATAACCTAGAAAAAAACTGATAAATTGCTAGACACATACAACTTACCAAGACTGAATTACAAAGAAATAGAAAATCTGAACAGAGCGCTAATGAATAAGGAGATTGAGTCACTTGTAAAAAGTCTGTCAAAGAAAAGCCGAGGACACGATGGCTTCACTGCTGAATTCTACCAAACATTTAAAAAAGGAGTAATACCAGTTCTTCTCAAACTCTTCAAAAACTGAACAGCAGACAATACTTTCAAATGTATTTTACAAGGCCAGCATTACCATGATACAAAAGCCAGACAAGGATACAACAAGAAAAGAAAATTACAGGTCAGTATTCCTGATGAACTTAGATGCAAAAGTCTTCAACAAAATACTAGTAAACTGAACTCAACAGCACATTAAAATAATCGTTTACCCTGATCAGTGGGATTTATCCAAGGGATGGAAGGATGGTTCAAAATATGCAGATCAATAAATGTGACATATGACATTAACAAAAGGAAGGACAAAAGCCATATGATCATGTCAATAGATGCAGAAAAGGCATTTGACAAAATTCAACATCCTTTCATGATAAAAACTTCAAGAAATTAGTTATACAAGGAATATACCTAAACATGGTAAAGGCCATGTATAAGAATCCTACATTTAACATCATACTCAATGGTGAAAAGCTAAAGCTAAAAGCTTTTCCTCTAAGACCAAGCACAAGACAAGGATGCCCACTCTTGCCATTTCTATTTAATATAGTACTGGAAGTCCTACCTAGAGCAATTAGGCAAGAGAAAGAAATAAAAGATATCTCAATTGAGAAGGAAGAAGTTCAATTGTCCTTATGCTATAATCTGGATGTATTTTTCCCCAAACCTCATATTGAAATTTGTTTCCCAATGTTGGAGGTGGGTCCTCATGGTAGATGTTTGGGTCACAGGGCCAGATCCCCCATGAATGGTTTGGTGCAGTCCTTACTATAATGAGTGAGTTTACACTCCATATTTCCTGCAAGAGTTGGTGGTTACAAAGAGCCTGGCACCTCCACTCTCTCTCTTGCTTCCTCTCTTGCCATGTATCTAGCCTTCCAGCCAGCTGAATCATGAGCCAAATAAACCTTTTTTCTTTATAAATTACCCAGTCTCAGATATTCCTTCATAACAACACAAAAGGACTAAGACCCTGTTTGAAACAACATGATCTTTATATACAGAAAACCCTAGACTACACAAAAATCTTTTAAAAGTAATAAATAAATTTAGTAAAGTTGAAGAATACAAAACCAGCATACAAAATCAGTGTTTCTATACACTAACAGTGAACTATCCAAAAAAATCAAGAAAATTATTTCTTTTAAAATAGCTACTATAAAAAATACTTAGAAATAAATTTAGCCAAGTAAGTGAAAGATCTTCACACTGAAAACTTTAAAACAGGGATGAAATGGAAGACAGAAATTGAAAGCTATCCCATGGTTATGAATTGAGAGAATTCATATTATTAAAATGTCCGTACTACCCAAAACAGTCTACATATTCAGTGCAATCCCTATCAAAATTTCAATGACACTTTCCCCAGAAACAGAAAAACAATCCTAAAATCCATATGCAACCAGAAGAGACTCCGAACAGCCAGAACAATATTGGCAAAAAGAAGAAAGCCAGAGGCATCACATTGCATGATTTGAAAATCTATTCCAACGCTATAATAATAAAAAAGCTTGGCACTGGCATTAATACATACACACAGATTAAGGCAACAGAGTAGAGTCCAGAGTAAGTCCACCAGACAAAATAGCTTTCAAGACAGAAATATAAGAAGAAAGAGAATATCACTGCATCCATCTGGATTTTCTCTAAGATAATTTCTATTGGGTCAAAACTTCCCGTTTATTTGCATGTTTTATATTTTTGTGTTGTAAATGGGACATTTTAGATAATATATTGTAGCAACTCTGGTTTCCAATAGCACCCTTCATCCCACCCCAGGCTTCTTGTTGTTGTTGTTTGTTCCCTTATTTGTTTAGTGACTTTCTTGGACTTACTCGGTGAAGTCTATTTGTAACATGGTATGAAGTCTCAGATATCCCTGCCTAGATACTTTTTTTCTGTTTTTATCTTTAGGCCTAGATTTCTAGGGATTGCCTCTGTGTCAGCATGCTTAGTGATCAGTGGTTGGCCAGAGGTTGTGATTAAGCATTTTAAACCAGCAAGGTGTTTACCCTTTACTGTTGATTCTGTTGGTAGCTTGGAGAGTGCTTTCACAGTTCAAGGAGCTTGAGGTTGCCTCATATTCAGCCAAGAACTAGATAATCATTTTTCTCTTCAAGCATTCCTCGGAGTATGCAGCCTTGGGTATGTGCCTAGTATTCTGGGCCACTAGTGATGACTAGTATTTGTGGAGTTCTCTTTGTCTCTTTTTCTGATCTCCCCAATAACGGCTCTTGGCTTCTATTTATATCATACCAAACTTTTAGTCTCCACTGATTGCTGTTAGTTCTGTTGTTTTTGATAACAATCCGGAGCATAAATTGCCCTGCAGTTTTATCCAGATAAAGTCTAGTTGCTTGGCAAAGTTAGAGTGTTGCCAGTTTTCACGCTTGATCCAGTTTTCCCCTGGGAAGAACCCCTGCCATATCTAACTGGGATACCACTTTTGCACCATAAAGTTGAGAGATATGCAAGATTCCACATGGGTGTTTTAACTCCTAGACCAGCTCTTCAGTCACACAGAGCTATGAGGGACTAGGGAACTGGACTTTTCGCCAGCAGCCGTCTTTTCTGAATCCTCTCTATGGGGCAGAAGCTTTGGCTGAGAAAGCAGCATATTTCCCAGTTTTCACCATCTGCCAAATCCATCTGGAATATCTCTTTTAGCTCGGGGAATTGGGAAAGATGAGAGTTGCCAGTCTGCTGGTGAGCTCTTTGAAATAGCTCTTTCAAAACAGAGCTCTGAATGGGTATGGGTACAGACCATTGTTGTAAACTGAACTGTGTTAGGCCATTTGTGCATTGCTATAAAGAAATACCTGAGACTGGGTAATTTATAAGCAAAAGAGGTTTAATTGGCTCACGATTGTTTAGGCTTTACAGGAAGCATGGTGGCATCTGCTTCTGGGGAGGCCTCACAAAGCCTCCAATCATGGCAGACTACAAAAGGAGGAGCAGGCATCTCCCATGACAAGAGAAAGGGCAAGAGAGAGAGACAGAGAGTATGTGGGGAGGGGAGGTTCCACACAGTTTTAAATGACCAGGTCTCGCAACAGCTCACTCACTGTCATGAAGACAACACCAAGCCATAAGGGATCTGCCCCCATAATGCAAACACCTCCCACTAGGTCTCGCATTCAGCATTGGGGATTGTGATTCAACATGAGATTTGGGCAGGGACAAATATCCAAATTACATCATTCCACCTCTGGCGCCTCCTAAATCTCATGTCCTTCCCACATTGCAAAATACAATCGTACTTTCCCAACAGTCCCCAAAAGTCTTAACTCCTTCCAGTGTTAACTCAAAATTGCAAAGTCCAAAGTCTTATCTGAGACAAGGCAAGTCCCTTCCACCTATAAGCCTGTCAAATAAAAGACAGGTTTTTTATTTGTTGGGTATAGGCATTAGGTAAACATTCTCTTTCCAAAAGGGAGAAATCAGCTAAAATAAATGGGCTACATGCCCCATGTACATTCAACACCCAGCAGGGCAGTCATTAAATCTTAAAGCTCCAAAATAATCTCTTTTGACTCTACGTTCCATATCCAGGGCACACTGCTGCAAAGGGTGGGCTTCCAAGGCCTTGGGCAGCTCCACCCCTGTGTCTTTGCAGGATTCATCCCCCAGGGCTGCTCTTATGGATTGGATTTGAATGACTGTAGCGTTTCTAGGTGCAGGGTGCAAGCAGCTGGTGAATCTACCATTCTGGGGTCTGGAGGTTGGTATCCCCTTTCTCACAGCTCCACTAGGCAGTGCTCTATTGGGGACCAACCCTTGGCACTGCCATAGTGTGTGGGGGCTCCAACCCTTGGCACTGCCATAGTAGAGGTTCTCTGTGAGGGCTCCACCTCTGCAGTAGGCTCCTGCCTCAGTACAGAGGCTTTCTCATATATCCTCAGTATCCTCATATATCCTCAGGGAAGAGGCTGCCAAGTATTTATCACTGCTGGATTCTGCACCTGTACAGGCTGAACACTACAGAGAAGCTACCAAGACTTATGTCTTGCATTCTCCAGAGTGGTAGCCTGAACTCAACCAGGGCCCCTTTGGGCCATGGCTGGAGCTAGAGTGGCTGGTATATGGGAAACAGTGTTCTGAGGCTGTGCAGGGCTATGGGGCCCTGAGCCTGGCCTACAAAACCCTTTATTCTCCTGGGCCCCTGGGCCTGTGATGGGAGGGGCTGCTGCAAAAGTGTCTGAAATACCTTCAAGGCCTTTTCCCCATTGTCTTGGATATTAGCCCTTGGCTCCCTTTTAGTTATATGACTATCTCTAGCAGGTGGTTGCTCAGCAGCCTGTTTGAAAAAGCTTTTTCTTTGTCTGCCACATGGCCAGGCTGCAAATATTTCAAGCTTTTATGCTCTGCCTTCTGTTTAAATGTAATTTCTAACTTTAAGTCATTTATTAGTTCTTGCATCTCAGTGTAGGCTGTTACAAGCAGCCACATCACTTCTTGAATGCTTTGCTACTTAGAATTTTTTTTTCTACCAGATAGGCTAGGTCATCAGATCCCTAGGACATGGACACAATGTAGCCAAGTTCTTTACTAAGGCATAGCAAGGCTGACCTTCGCTCCAGTTCCCAAAATACCCTCATTTCCATCTCAGACCTCAGCAGCCTAGAGTTCATTGTCCATATCACTGTCAGCATTTTGGTCAAAACCATTTAACCAGTCTCTAAGAAGTTCCAGACTTCCCCTCATCTTCCTATTTTCTGAGCCCTCCACACTTTTCCAACCTCTGTCCATTACCCAGTTGCAGAGTCACTTTCAAATTTTCAGGTATCTTTATAGCAATGCCCCACTCCTGATACCAATTTTCTGTGTTAGGCATTCTGGCACTGCTATAAGGAAATACCTGACACTGGGTAATTTATAAAGAAAAGAGGTTTAATTGGCTCACAGTTTTGCAGGCTTTACAGGAAGCATGGTAGCATCTGCTTCTGTGAAGATTCTCAGGAAGCTTCGAATTATGGTGGAAAGTGAAGCTGGAACAAGCATCTTACATGGCAGAAGCAAGAGAAGTCGGGGGAGGGAAGGAGAAAGGGAGAAGGGAAGGTACCACAGACTTTTAAACAACAAGATTTCACGAACTCACTGTCGTGAAGACAGCACCAAGCCATGAGGGATCTGCTGCCATGACCCAAACACCTCCCACTGCCAGCCCCCACTTCCTATATTGGGGATTAATATTCAACATGTGATTTGGGAAGGGATAAATATCCAAACTATATAACGGACGTTTTAGATAATATATTGGAGCAACTCTGGTTTCTGATAACACTTCACAACCCCACTTCACGCTTGTTATTGGTGTTGCATGTTTGTTCACTTATTTGTTTGGTGGCTTTCCTGGACTAACTGTGATGTCTCTTTCCCATATAGCATGAAGTCTCAGCTATCTGATATATATTCCGGATACTAATGCTCTGTTAGATGAATAGTTTGGGTCAGTATTTTTCATCCACTCTGCCAATATCTGCCTTAATTAGTATATTTAAACAATTTACATGTAATTCAGTTATTGATATGTTAGGGTTTAAGTCGCCATGAATGCCATTGCCTCCCACGCTTCTTACCAAGTTCTATAGATTTTGTTGAATAAATGCATATCAATTTGTTGTAAGTGATTTGATCAATATTCAGAGAATTTGCTAATTTTTACTAGTTTGATAGGTGTCTCACTGAGGGAGAAGTTTCATCAAGCTTTTCATACTGCCATTCAAGAACCAAGTGAATGTTTCCAGTTTGGGCTGTTGCAAATAAAGCTGCTACAAACAATTGTGTACAGGATTTTTTGTGGATATAAATTTCATTTTACTGGTATAAATGCCCAGCAGTATGATTGCTGAGTCCTATGGTAATTACGTTTAGTTGTTTTAAAAAATGATTCTTGGTGGTTTGACACTTCTATTAAGTTTTTATAGCTGCTGTAACAGATTACCACAGCCTCAGTGGCCAAAAACAACAAAAATTTGTTTCCTCACAGTTCTGGAGGTCATAAGTCTAAAACAAGGTGTTGGCAGGCATGTGTTCCTTCTGGGAGTTTTAGGGGAGAATCCATTTCTTTGCCTTTTGTATTTGCTAGAGACCATCAGCATTCCTAGTCTCATGATGACTTCTTCCATTTTGAAAGCCAATAATGGCTATGCAAATCCTACACATTCTGCCTCACTATGATACTCTTCTGTAATCAAATCTCTCTCTTTTATTTTCATGTTTTTTAAAAGTTTTGTAGGTACATAGTACATGTATATATTTATGGGACACATGAGATATTTTGACGTAGGCATGCAATGTGAAATAAGTACATTATGGAGAATGGGGTATCCATTCCCTCAAGCATTTATCCTCTGAGTTACAAGGAGTCCAGTTGCACTCCTTAAGTTCTTTTAAAATGAACAATTAAGTTATTATTGACTCTAGTCGCACTATTGTGCTACCAAATAGTAGGTCTGATTGATTTTTTTTTTTTTTGTAATAACTAACCATTCCCACATCTCCCCTTACCCCTATCACTATCCTTCCCAGCCTCTGGTAATCATCCTTCTACTCCCTATGTCCATGAATTCAATGGTTTTGATTTTTAGATCTCACAAGTAAGTGAGAACATACGATCTTTGTCTTTCTGTGCCTGACTTATTTCACTTAACATAATGACCTCCAGTTTCATCCTTGTTGAAAATACTGGATCTCACACTTTTTTGTGGCTGAATAGTACTTAATCTTGTATAGATACCCCATTTTCTTTATTCATTGATCTGTTGGTGGACACTTAGGTTGTTTCCAAATCTTAGCTATTGTGAACATTGCTGCAACAAACAGAGTGCAGATATCTGTTGGCTATACTGATTTCCTTTCTTCTGGGTATATATCCAGCAGTGGGATTGCTGGATTATATGGTAGCTCAATTTTTAGTTTTTTTGAGGAACCTCCAAAGTGTTCTCCATAGTAATTGTACTAACTTACATTCCCAGAAACAATATACAAGGGTTCCCTTTTCTTCACATCCTTGCCAGCATTTATTACTGCCTGTCTTTTGGATATAAGCCATTTTAACTGGACTCACATGAGAATTTCCCTGCCCTATCATATAAAAGCTATATAACTTTGGGCAGATCACATAAATGATCTAAGTGTGTTTTCTTATCTGAGTAATTAAAATAAGAATTGTACTTGTTTCCCAGGGTTTTTATACTGGAAAATACTAAATTGGTAATAGGTAATGTGCACAACACTATGCTAGGGCTATTTCAAATGTTCAATAATTGCTAGCTTCTGCTGTTATTTTGTTTTAGAAGAATTCTTTTTTTTCCCAGTACCTAGTGTAGTGCAATATTTCTTCTGATCTTCAGATCTCAGTTTAATTCTCACTTTCTTCATGCCAGTGGACTAATAACCTGTTTCTCGTCACAGTGAACATCAAAAGTCTCAAGCAATTATAATGGAAATTTGTTGTGTAGTATTATCAAACAGAATCTATAAGGAACTCAAATCACCAAGAAAAACAAATAATCCCATCAAAAAGTGGGCAAAGAACATAAATAGACATTTCTCAAAAGATGTACAGTCATCAAACATATTACAAAATTCTCAACATCACTAATCATCAGGGAAATACAAATTAAATCCACAATGAGCTACCACTTACTTCTGCAAGAATGGCCATAATTAAAAAGCCAAAAAGCAGTAGCTGTTCATGTGGATGTGGTGAAAAGGGAACACTTTTACACTGCTGGAGTGTAAATTAGTACAACCACTATGGAAAACAGTATGGGGATTCCTTAAATAACTAAAAGTATGTCTACCACTTGATCCAGCAGTCCCACTACTGGGTGTCTACCCAAAGGAGAAGAAGTCATGATATGAAAAAGACATGCACATGCATGTTTATAGCAGCACAACTCACAATTGCAAAAACATGGAACCAACCTAAATGCCCATCAACCAATGAATAGATCAAGAAAATGTGGTATATATACAGCATGGAATACTACTCAGCCATTAAAAGAAATGAAATAATGTCTTTTGTGGCATCTTGGATGGAGCTGGCAGTCATTATTCTAAGTGAAGTAACACAGGAGTGGAAAACCAAAAACCATATGTTCTCACTTATAAGTAGGAGCTAAGCTATGAGTACACAGAGGCATGCAGAGTGATATAATGGACTTTAGAGAGTCAGAATGGGTATACTGGGAGGTGGGTCAGGGATTAAAAAAAAACACTACACCTTAGGTATAATGTTCACTGCTCAGGTGACAGGTGCACTAAAATTTCTACTACATAATTCATCCATGTGACCAAAAACCACTTGTACCCCAAAAGCTATTGAATTAAAAATAAATAAGTAGATAAATAAATACAATGTAGTGTTGTGTATACACCACGGAATACTACTCATCCACAAATAACAGTGAAAGAATGTCTTTTGTAGCAACTTGGATGGGACTGGCAGCCATTCTTCTAAATGAAGTAACTCAGGAATGGAAAGCCAAATACCCTCTGTTCTCACTTATAAGTGGGAGTTAAGCTATAGGTATGCAAAGACTTACAGAGTAGTGTAATGGAATTTGGAGACTCCGAAGGGGCAGAGTGGAAGGAGGACTCAAGATGAAAAAGTACATATTAGGTTAAAATGTATACTGTTTGGGTTATGGGTGCACTAAAATCTCATAGTTTACCTCTATACAATTCACCCATGTACACAAAAACCACTTGTACTCCAAAAACTATTGAAATAGTAGATACATAGAAATTAAAAATAATAAAATAATTTTTCAGAGTTCACCAGAATTGTATTTGATTCTTAGAGCAATCCTGAGGGAATTTTGTATCTGCATATCAGGATAAAATGTACTTGTGATAAATTTCATTTGTGTTGGAGCCAGATTGATTGGGTCCTCAAATGCCTCAGAGTGTGTTGGCCTGCAAGCATATGCAAAAATTTCAGAGTAAGTACATGTTGAGCTAAGATAGTTAATAACTTTCATTAGATTTTCAAAAAGTTAAGATTGCTGAATCAGTCTTACAATTTCAGTTTCGCTTTAGGGCCTTTAGTTGTTTGCCTCCACAAATGCTTGGTATATAGGCATCTCATAAATGTTATTACGTAAAATGACTTAGATTCTCTGTGTGTACTGCCCTATTTAAACCTGCGTATCATTTTATTATTTAGTTTTAAGGTCCTTAGTCGTGCAAAGTCTTTTGGATATGAGAGGTCTAAGACTACTCACAGGAGTCTATATTTAATAGAAAAATAGGCTGCATATATTTCAAAAAGATAAATAATAATATAATGTTATATTTGTTAAACACCGGATTAGTGCCTCACAAAAATATGAACTGTATGAATTCAGAGAGATGTCTTTGAGTGAACTAGTGGGAATTGAGCCAGTCCTTCAGTGAAGGGCAGGGTTTTGGTAAGTGTATTCATTCAATAATTATTTTTTTGAGTACCTGCTGTGTGCCAAGTACTGTTAGGTACAGGAGAGGAGAGGGCATTCTAGTACAACACATGCAGCATGTGAAGGCACTGAGGGAGGAATGTGCTTGACATGTTTGGGGCCTAGGAAGATTAATTTGGCTAGGGCCAGAGGAAGGCGGTAAAGGTTGTTTGTAGAGCTGAGAGAACAAACAGTATTTTAGAAAGATCAGTTCAGCATTTCTGTATAGCTTATTTAATCCTGTTTTGAAATTTTGTAACGTCTGAATTCTAAACTGACAACAACTTTAAAATCATCTTTTATTGGAGTGCTACAATCTTTTCAAGTAAATAGAATGCTCTCAATATTCCTCTCCCACGTTTCCACCAGGGAGATACAGCCTAATTTTTTTCCCCAGATATAGCATATGTGTATATATGTGTGTGTCAAAGGAGGCTGTTAGGTGTTTTTCAAAATCTGATTACTGAGTTTGGCAATATTCGGTATTTGTCAATGTACTGATTAAAATGTCTAAAAAAATACTCATAAAATACTTTAGCCTGATTAACAAACTGGCTAAAGTGGAATTTTGCTGATCTGTTGTGCCATTTCTGGAGGATTTTTAAGATGTTTAGTTGTGGCTGGGCGCGGTGGCTCATGCCTGTAATCCCAGCACTTTGGGAGGCCAAGGCGGGCCGATCAACTGAGGTCGGGAGTTCAAGACTAGCCTGACCAACATGGAGAAACCCGGTCTCTACTAAAAATACAAAATTAGCCGGGCGTGGTGGCACATGCCTGTAATCCCAGCTACCTGGGAGGCTGAGGCAGGAGAATCACTTGAACCTGGGTGGCGGAGGTTGCAGTGAGCCGAGATCGCGCCATTGCACTCCAGCCTGGGCAACAAGAGTGGAATTCCTTCTCAAAAAAAAAAAAAAAGTTTTAAAAAAGATGTTTAATTGTGTAAATATACTCCCTGTGTATGTTTTTATTTTTAATTTTCTAGTTAGATTTTTATTGATCTAAGATAAAATTTTGATACTTTCAAATATTACCCAGTAATAATTGCACCACAATTATTGAATGATTAATATGTTCAGAAATTTCAGAATAATTCTTTCATACATCATAATTAAAGTAACTTAGTTCTTGAAATGCTTTACCATTAATATTGTATAATTTCATAATACAACCACACTGATCTAGACACTTATTTGTTGTAGGAAACTTAAGATTGGTCTTTTAAGTGCTAGAGCTCTAATTTTGATGAACGTTATATCTTGAATGTACTACGTAACTCCCACCTATGTTAAACCCGACAGTTGAACCCTTTCTTCGTAACTCAGTATCTTTAGTTTTTAACTTTGCCAATTGTAATATGTTGTGTTTGTTATCTAAGTGAAGGTATAGATAGTGGACCTGAATGGGTATTGAGCCCGGAAATAGTCTTAGAAAGTGCTATATTGAAAAAGTTGCTGGTGTCATTTGCTTTTTCTTCCATAATTGTGAATTGAAATATATACAACTTCTTGGCTTTGTGGGCAGGGTGACATGCTCAGTGAATCAAAGGCAGCCTTTTTCCAAGTGTTTTTCTGTTCTCCAAAGGCCACTGCTGGTATTTGTGTTCTTTACTTGTATCCAAATACTTTCTGGTGCATAGTAGGCGTTCAGCAAATGTTAATTACCCCTTTTCCATTGCTATTATATTAGACCACAGGTGTTATTTTGTCAGCACATTCATCTTCAGAGTATTTGACTTTTAGAGCTGTGTTACAGGTCACTCCTTTCTCTTAGTATTCTTAATATTTAGTTTTCAAGAAAACACCAGATGCTATGCATCATTTTAAATGGCACTTTGATGTGGGCAACAGCGAAAAATGGAAGAACCTGGATTCTCAGTAAGCTAGTGAATTAACCAATCCTTATGTCTGCCTGCTCCTAGACTTTGTTATATGGAGAATAAGTTTTTTTCATTGTTGAAGCCAGTTTAAGTTGGAGATTCCAGAATTTTAGCCAAAAGCATCTTAAATAAGACCCACTATATTGGATTATTGTGAAGATTAAAAAGACTAGATCTGTATAAAGCACCTGGCACATAGTATGCACTCCTTAAATACAGAACAAACACATTGTCATCAGAGATCTCTTTTCTTTTCAGGGACATTATAATGAGGTGTGGCACAGGTACCATAACACTACCAGACTGTAGAGCTTTTCCATCATGCATTTGTAGCTTTGTTGCTGGTTCTTTTCCTTTGCCAGCCATACTGTGCCTCTGGTACTTTTATTCTCTTTTTATTATTTCTTAACTCTTCTATTCCTTGTTACTTCTCCCATTTTGTGACTTTTGGTATGTATAATCTTAACTTTTATAATCAGAAGTGGCCAACTGGAGTAACCTTACCTCTAACACTCAGCTCTTGGTTTTTCTCCCTTTGTGTTGGTCACTGGATGTTCCAGGACAGGTTTTTGGCCACAAGAGATTTTGAAAATGTCTTGTTTCTTTTCCCCCTTTGCTGGTTGAGGAACTCCTCTAGAAGCTGAAAAGTTCTAGATAGCTGAGTCACACAATATATATTTTCTAAATAAAAAAAAAATACCATTAGTCAAGATAGGTGTTATTGGGGAAAAGTATATTTTCTTGCAGAATGACTTTTTTTCTCCTCTTTTATTTTAGAATCAGGTTGTATTTGATCATGTTTCCCCATAATGTTGTTAGACTAGAAGTAATAAAACCGATTATTGAAATGTTTTATAAATATTATTTTACAAAAATGCTACATGATAGAGAATAATTATAGAAATCAGCCTTATGTTTTTAGTAAAAATAATAGGCTTCATAATTAAATTCTAGTTGGCACCTGTTTGTTTTTTTTTTAATAATTTCAACTTTTATTCTAGGTTTAGGGGTACATGTGCAGGTTTGTTACAAGAGTATATTGAATGATGCTGATGTATGGGGTTTGATCCCATCACCCAGGTAGTGAGCATATTACCCAATAGTTTTTCAATTCTTTTCTCCCTCCCTCCCCCATCTACTAGTCCTCGGTGTCTGTTGTTCCCATCTATATGTCCGTGTGTACCAAATGTTTAGTTTCCACTTATAAGTGAGAACATGCAGTATTTGATTTTCTGTTCCTGCATTAATTCAGTTAGGATAATGACTTCCAGCTGCATCCATGTTGCTGTAAAGGACATGCTTTCTTCTTTTTTATGGATGCATAGTATTCCATGGTGTATATGTATCTCATTTTCTATATTCAGTACAACACTGATGGGCACCTAGGTTTATTCCATGTATTTGGTATCGTGAATAGTGCTGTGATGAACACATGAGTGCATGTATATATGGTAAAATAATTTATATTCCTTTGGATATATACCCAGTAGTGGGATTGCTGAGTCAAATGATAGTTCTGTTTTAATTTCTCTGAGAAATATCCAAACTGCTTTCCACAGTGGCTGAACTAATCTGTATTCCCACCATCAGTGTATAATGTTCCCTTTTCTCAGCAGCCTCACCAGCATCTGCTGTTTTTTGATTTTTTATAATAGCCATTCTGACTGGTGTGAGATGGTATCTCACTGTGGTTTTGATTTGCATTTCTCTGATAATTAGTGCTGTTGAGCTTATTTTCATGTATTTGTTGGCCACTTGTATGTTATCTTTTGTCAAGTGTCTGTTCAGATCTTTTCCCCATTTTTTAATGGGGTAAATTGTTTTCTGCTTGTTCGATTGTCTAAGTTTTGCGTAGATTCTGGATATGAGACCTTTTTAGATGCATAGTTTGTGAATATTTCCTCATATTCAGTAAGTTATCTGTTTAATAGTTTCTTTTGCTGTGCACATGTTCTTTAGTTTAATTAGGTTCCATTTGTCAATTTTTGCTTTTGTTGGAATTGCTTTTGGTGTCTTTGCTGGGAAACCTTTGCCAGGGCTGATGTCCAGAATGGTATTTTCTAGCTTTTCTTCAGGGTTTTTATTTTTTTAGGCTTTACATTTAAGTCTTTAATCCATCTTGAGTTGATTTTCGTGTATGGTGAAAGGCAGAAGTTTAGTTTTAATCTTCTGCATAGGGCCCACCAGTTATCCCAGCACCACTTGTTGAATAGGGAATTCTTTACCCATTACTTGTTTTTGTTGAGTTTGTCAGAGATCAGATGGTTACAGTTGTGTGGCTTTATTTCTGGGTTCTCCAACATCTGACCTGGGTTCTCTAACCTCTAACCTGTTACATTGGTCTATGTGTCTGTTTTTGTACCAGTACTATGCTGTGTTGGTTACTATAGCCTTGTACTGTAGTTTGAAGTCAGGAAGTGTGATGACACCAGCTTTGTTCTTTTTACTTAGAATAGTTTTGGCTATTTGGGCTTGTTTTTGATTCCATATTAATTTTAGAATAGTTGTTTCTACTTCTGTGACAAATGTCGTTGGTAGTTTGATAGGAATAACTTGAATCTGTAAATTGCTTTGGGCAGTGTGACCATTTAAAAAATATTGATTCTTCCTATCCATGAGCATGGAATGTTTTCCCATTTGTTTGTGTCATCTCTGATTTCTTTCAGCAGTGTTTTATAGTTCTGATTGTAGAGATCTTTCACCTCTGTGGTTAGCTGTATTCCCAGGTATTTTATTCTATTCATGGCTATTGTGAATGGGATTGTATTCTTAAGTTGGCTCTCTACCTGGATGTTGATAATTTATAGAAATGCTCCTGATTTTTCAAATATTTATTTTGTATCCCAAAACTTCGCTGGAGTTGTTTATTAGAACCACAACCTATTGGACAGAGACTATGGGGTTTTCTAGGTATAAGATCATATCTTCTTTGAAGAGACTTTGTCTTTTCATATTTGGATCAATTTTATATATTTCTTTTGCCTGACTCCTGGCTAGGACTTCCAGTACTATATTGACTAGGCATGAAAAGAGTGCACATCCTTGTCTTATTATAGTTGTCAAAGGGAATGCTTCCAGATTTTGCCCATTCAGTTAGATGTTGGCTATGAGTTTGTCATAGATGGCTATTATTATTTTGAGGTATGTTCCTTTGATGCCTAATTTGTTGAGGGTTTTTTAAATGAAGGGTTGTTGAATTTTATTTTATTTTTAAAATTTTATTTCAATAGTTTTGGGGGAGCAAGTGGTTTTTGGTTACATGGATAAGTTCTTTAGTAGTGATTTCTGAGATTTGGTGTACACGTCACCTGAGCAGTGTACACTGTACCCAGTATGTAGTCTTTTTTCCCTTGCATCCCTCTCATCCTTCCCCTGGAGTCCCCAAAGCCCATTATATTGTTATTATGTCTTGCATCCTCATGTATTAGCTCTCCTCAAGCTTAGCTCTCATGTATAAGTGAAAACATACAATATTTGGTTTTCCATTCCTTAGTTACATCACTTAGACTAATGGCCTCCAACTCCATCCAAGTTGCTGCAGAGGCCATTATTTCATTCTGTTTTATGGCTGAGTAGTATTCTATGGTGTATATATCACACATTTTCTTTATCCACTCCTTGGATGATGGTTATTTTGGTTGGATCCATATTTTTGCAATTGCAAAAGATGCTGCTATAAACGTGTGTGTATGTGTCTTTTTCAAATCTGGAGGCATCACATTACCTGATGATATGGGTTGGCTGTGTTCCCACCCAAATCTCATCTTGAATTGTAGCTCCCATAATTTGCTCATGTTGTGGGAGATAATTGAGTCATCAGGGCGGTTTCCCCCATACTGTTCTCTTTGTAGTGAGTAAGTCTCATGAGATCTGATGGTTTTATAAGGAGAAACCCCTTTTGCTTTGCTGTCATTCTTCTCTTGTCTGCTGCCATATGAGACGTGCCTTTCACCTTCTGCCATGATTTTGAGGCCTCCCTAGCCATGTGGAACTGTGAGTCCATTAAACCTCTTTCTTTGGTAAATTGCCCAGTCTTGGATATGTCTTTATCAGCAGTGTGAAAACAGACTAGTACACCTGACTTCAAACTGTACTATAAGGCTATAGTTACCAAAGCAGCATGGTACTGGTGTAAAACTAGGCACATAGACCAATGGAACAGAATAGAGAACCCAGAAATAAAGCCAAATACAGCCAACTGATCTTCGACAAAGCATACAAAAACATAAAGTAGGGAAAGGATACCCTATTGAACAAGTGGTGCTGGGATAACTGGTAAGCCGCACATAGAAGAATGAAAATGGATCCCTATCTGTCACCATATACAAACGTCAACTCAAGATTGATCAAAGCCTTAAATATAAGGCTTGAAACTATAAAAATTCTAGAAGACAACATTGTAAAAACTCTTGTAGACATCAGTCTAGGCAAAGAATTCATGACTAAGACCCCCAAAACAAATACAACAAAAACAAAAATAAACAAATGGCACCTAATTAAACTAAAAAGCTTCTGCACAGCAAAAGAAATCATCAGCAGACAAAACACAACCTACAGAGTGGGAGAAAATATTCGCAAACTATGCATTTGACAAAGGTTGTTGAATTTTACTGAAATCCTTTTTTGCGTCTATTAAGAGGATCATAGGGTCTTGTTTTTAGTTCTGTTTATGTGATTAATTACATTTCTTAATTTGCATCCATTAAACCACCCTTGCATCCCAGGTTTAAAGCCTTCTTGGTCGTGGTGTTTTCCTAGATTTGGCTTTCTAGTATTTCCTAGATGTTTTCCTAGATTTGGCTTTCTAGTATTTTGTTTAGAATTTTTACATCTATGTTTATCAGAGTATTGGCCAGAAGTTTTCCTCTTTTGTTGTGTTTCTGTGGGGTTTTGGTATTACAATGATGCTAGCCTCATAGAATGAGTTAGGGAGGAGTCCCTCCTCCTCAATTTTTGGAATACTTTTAGTAGGATTGGTACCAGCTCTTCTTTATACATCTGGTAGAACTAAGCTGTGAATCTATCTGGTACAAGTTTTTTTTTTTTTTTTTTTTTTTTTTCTGGTTGGTAGGCTTTTTATTACTGATTAAATTTCTGAACTCATTATTTCTGTGTTCCGAGTTTTAATTTCTTCATGGTTCAATCTTGGGTGGTATATATTTCTAGGAATTTATTTGTTTCTTCCAGGTTTTCTAGCTTGTGTTCATAGAGGATTTCATAATAGTTTCTGGGGGTTGTTTGTATTTCCATGTAGTTGGTGGTAATGTTCCATTTGTCATTTCTGATTGTGTTTATTTGGATCTTCTTTTTTTCACTATTAGTCTAGCTAGTTGTCTCTCAGTCTTATTTATTTCTTCAAAAAACCAACTTTTTTTTATCTTTTGTGTCGTTTTTCACATCTCTATTATATTGAGTTGCTCTATGATTTTGGTTATTATTTTTCTTCTGCTACCTTTTTGGTTGGTTGGTTCTTGTTTTTCAAATTCCTCTAGGTGTGATGTTAGGTGATGTTAATTTGAGATCTGTCAAGCTTTTTGATGTGGATTTTCAGTGCTATAAACTTTCCTCTTAATAGTGCTTTAGCTGTGTCCCAGGGGTTCTGGTATGTTGTATCTTTGTTTTCATTAGTTTCAAATCATTTTTTGGTTTCTGCCCTAATTTCATTGTGTACCCAAAAGTAATTCAGGAGCATATTGTTTAATTTCCATGTAATTGTATGGTTTTGAGAGATTTTGGTATCGACTTTTTTTTTTTTAATTGCACGTGGTCTGAGAATGTGATTGGCATGATTTCAGTTTTTTTTGTGTGTGTATTTTTTGAGAACTGCTTTAGGGCTGATTGTGTGGTCAATTTTAGAGTATGTGCCATGTGCAGATGAGATTAATGTATATTCTGTTTTTGTTGGGTGGAGTGTTATGTAGATGTCTGTTAGATCCATATGGTCATGTGTCAAGTTCAGGTCCTGGTATCTTTGTTAGTTTTCTGTGTTGATATTTCTAGTACTGCCAGTGGGGTGTTGAGGTTTCCCACTGTTATTGTCTATTTATGTAAATCTCCTTGTAGGTATCTAAGAACTAGAACTTACTTTATGAATCTGGGCACTCCAGTATTGGGTGCATATATATTTAGTATTGTTAAGTCTTCTTGAACTCCTTATTATATAATGTCCTTCTTTGTCCTTTTTTGATCATTGGTTTAAAGTCTTTTTTGTGTGAAATTAGATTAGCATCCCCTGCCCTTTTTCATATTGTGTTTCCTTGGTGAATTTTTCTCCATCCATTTAATTTGAGCCTGTGGATGTCACTGCATGTGAGATGGGTCTCTTGAAGGCAGCATACAATTGGTTTTTACTTCTTTATCTAACTTGCCACTGCATGCCTTTCAAATGGGGCATTTAGCCTGTTTACATTCAAGTTTAACATTGATATGTGCAGATTTGGTCCTGTCATCATGTTGTTAGCGGGTTAATATGCAGATTTGATTGTGTGGTTGCTTTGTAGTATCAGTAGTCTATGTACTTAAGGGGATTTTTGTGGTGCCACTGACAGTCTTTCATTTCCATGTTTAGCCCTCCTTTAAGGACCTCTCGTAAGGCAGATCTGGTGGTAACAAATTTCCTTAGCATTTGTTTGTCTGACAAGAATCTTATTTCTCATTAGCTTATGAAGCATATTTTGGCTGGATATGATATTCTTGCTTGGAATTTGTTTTATTTAAGAATGCTGCATATAGGCCCCAAATCTCTTCTGGCTTATAGCATTTCTGCTGGAAGGCCACTCTTAGCCTGATGGAACTCCCTTTACAGATGACCTTCTTCTTCTCTCTAGCTGCCTTTAATATTTTTTCACATTGACCCTGAAGAATATGATGAGTATGTGTCTTGGGGATGGTCATCTTATATACTGTCTCACATGGCTTCTATTCATTTCTTGAATTTGAATGTTGACCTTTCTAGTGAGGTTGGGGACGTTTTCATGGACAATATTCTCAAATATGTTTTCCAAGTTACTGTATCTTTCTCTCTGTGTTTTAGGGATGCCAGTGAGTCATTGGTTTGGTCTCTTTACATAATTCCACATTTCCAGAGGTTTTGTTCCTTTTTTATTCTCTTTGTTTTTGTCTAACTGAGTTGATTGGAAGAACTGATCTTCAAGCTCAGATTCTTCCCTCAGGTTGGTCTTTTCTGCTGTTAGTACTTCTGATTATATTATGAAATTTTTACAGTACATTTTTTCGGTTCTTTCTATTGGTTTTGGTTCTTAAAATAGCAATTTTATCTTTCAACTCTTGTATTGTTTTATTTAATTCTTTAAATACTTTGGATTTGGTTCAACTTTCTTCTGAATCTTGATGTTCTTCATTCCTATCTATATTCTAAACCTTTTGTCTTTCATTTCCACCACTTTAGTCTGGTTGAGTACCATTGCTGTGGAGGTAGTGCTGTTGTTTGGAGGTAAGAAGACACTGGCTTTTCCAGTTGCCCGAGTTCTTGCACTCATTCTTTTTCATGTGTGGGCTGACGTTCCTTTAATGTTTGATGTTGCTGTCCTTTAGATTTGTTGTTGTTTTGTTTTGCTGCAGTAATTGTAAAAGTGGTGTGTCTCTTGATTACTTCTGGGAGCTCCATCTCAGGGAAATGCAGAGCTGCTGCCAGCCCAAGTGCTCAGGTTGGGGTAGGGTGGCTGTACTGGGGACCCTGGTAGGGAAGCTCTGCTCAGTGAGGAGTAGCACTGGCAGAGACCTGCATGGAAAATAATCTGGCCACTTTTCTGTAAGGCTGCTGCAGTGTGCTGGAGGCCAGCAATATTTTGGGCTCTTCTCTCCCTTCTCAGCCTGAGTGTAGTAGAGGTGGGGGCTGAGGCATTGGCAAAAATGTCAGTCCTGTCAGTTACTTCTGGGAGGTTTATCCCAGAAGAATTGCAGAGCTGCTATTGGCCTGAATTCTTAGGTGGGGTTGGTGTGGTTGTGTTAGGATCCCAGGCCAGTGGGCTTTGCCTAGACAGGTATAGCAGAGGCAAAGCCTGCAGTCCGTCCATTCCTCAGCACCATGAATATGGTCCCTATCCTGGGGGCATGTGAGAGAGTCTGGCCTCCCTTGTTGGTGGAGCTATGTAGCTGGTGCAAGAGTGCTCAGGAGTCCAAGGCCCTTGGGCATCCTTATGTGCCTGAGTGGCAACTCTGCCCACCCAGAAAACTCCAGGCAACCTGTGTCAGTCTGGAGGCCTTGGGAATAGAGGGTCTATGGGGATCTCCTGTGTCCAGGACTGCAAAGGTTCATGGCATAAGTGTGAGTGTCTGGGGGCTTTTGCTGACTTACCATTTCCCTGTGGTGAGGAGCCCCCCCTTGTCTTCCTGCCAGTCCTGGGTGGGCAGCTGTCCTGTCTTGCACTTTTCTGCTCTCTGTGGGTCATGGTGCTCCCTTGATGAATTCCAGCATGTCCTCCTGGATGATTCAGTGGAAGAGCTTGTGTTCACTGGCTACTGTGTATCTTCTCCTTGAGAGCAGCATACACTGGCTGCTTCTAATCAGCCATCTTCACACCTCCCAAAACAAAAATTCTTAATAGCAAGAGCTAACCAAATACAAAATCAGTAGAAGAAAAGAAATAATAAAGATCAGAACAGAAATAAATGAAATTGAAATGAAGAAAATAATACAAAAGATCAATGAAACAAAACGTTGGTTGTTTTAAAAGATGAAATTTACAAACCTTTAGCTAGACTAACAAAACAAAAGAGAGAGAACACCCAAATAAATAAAATCAGAGATGAAAAAGGAGACATTCAACCAATACTGCAGACATTCAAAGGATCATTAGTGGCTGCTGTGATCAACTATATGCCAATAAGTTGGAAAATCTAGAAGAAATGGATAAATTCCCAGACACACACAACCTACCAACATTGAACCATGAAGAAATCCAAAATCTGAACAGACAGATAACAATGAGATGGAAGATGTAGTAAAAATCTCCCCAGAAGGAAAAGCCTGGGACTTGATGGCTTCACTGCTGGATTTTACCAAATATTTAAAGAAGAAATACCAGTTCTACTGAAACTATTCTGAAAAACAGAGAAGAGGGGAATACTTCCAAACTCATTCTACAAGGCTAATATTACCCTGATATTACAGCACATCAATAAAGAAAACTATAGACCAATATCCCTGATGAATATTGATGCAAAAATCCTCAACAAAATACCAGCAAATCAAATTCCAAAACACATTCAAAAGATCATTCATCATGACCAAGTAGGATTTATCCTAGCGATGCAAGGATGGTTCAGCATATGCAGATCAGTTAGTGTGGTACATCATATCAACAGAATGAAGGATTAAAATCATAATAATCATTTCAACTGATGGTGAAAAAGCATTTGATAAAATTCAACATCAGTTCATGATAAAAAACCTTCAAAAAACTTGCTATCACAGGAAGCTCGCCCTGTATTTTTCCCTGGAGAAATGGTACAGTATTCTGTAAATCAGTATTCACAGCTACTTTATAGAATATAACTGCTGGAAATAACAAGAATCAGCTATATTTTTATTGCAGGCACAGTTGGAGGGGGTGAGTCTTACGGGTAAGTTACCTCATGCTCATATTTTAGCCCTGCTGTTTGTAAATTTCCATGTGAGAGATATCTGTTTTAGGACCTGTTATATTTTGTAGAGAGCCAGTATTTAATCTCTCATTGATTTTAAATAAGTCGTAATTTTGACTTGACGAGTTATTATTTCGAGTTACAAATAGTTTTAAGTTAAGGTCTTTCCTCTCGTGAAAACTCGATTATCTCTGCTCACTTTTAATGCTGTTTGATTAATGACAGCCTCATGAGGCTGTAAGTTTTTTATAACACCCCAAACTCTAATAACTTTTTGAATATCTTATTTGGTTTTCTAAATTGGAGGCTGGCAATTTTTTTTTTTTTTGTAAATGGCCACATGGTAAATGTTTTAGGCTTTGCAGCATGCATAAGATTTCTTGTCATATATTCTTCTTTGTTTTTACAAATCTTTAAATATGTTTTTTAAAAACATTTTAAACTTAGAGTCCAGGCCAGATTTAGCCCAGAGTTGTAGCTTGCCAGTCTTTTTTCAGAAATTTTCAATGTGCTGTACCATTAGCTTTCCCTCTTTAAGATAGTGACATGTACTTCACCAGTATAACTTAGACTTGTAGATACCCTAGTGTGCCAGTCTTCCTGATTTCTTTTGACAAAAATTGCAACCTTTTTTTGTTTGGAGGTAATAAATATGTTGGATAGATTTTATTGTTATCACTGTTCTCACTAGAGCCTGATTAGCATGAAATACATGTGCAAAGAAAAATGAGGAATAAGCAGAGCCACTTAATTTTTTTATTCAGCAAACAGAAGGAATGGGAAACTAAACTTAATTGCCTATGTACCAAGTGTAAGCCATTTTAATATAACTCCTTATTTAATCCTTGTGATAATCAACAGGATGGCATACACATTTTTTCAGATATTTAACCTAATAATAGTTAACCTAATTAAGACATTTTCTAGAATTTTCTGCAATGATGGGCTTGTTTTATATCTGTGCTCTACATTATGGCTGTTGAGCACTTGAAATGGAACTAATGTGACTGAAGTTTTTATTTATTAATAATTTTAATTTCAATTTAAATAACCACATGTGGCTAGTAGTAACCATACTGGGCAGCACAACTTGAAGAGCTTCAATAATTGATTCAAGTTTAGACAGTAAGTTCCGTGTAACTCCTAAGCTCATATTTATGTGTGTGTGTGTGTGTATATATATATATATGTATTTTTTTGTTGAGACAGAGTTTTGCTCTTGTTGCCCAGGCTGGAGTGCAGTGGTGCTATTTCGGCTCGCTGCAACCTCCACCTCCTGGGTTCAAGTGATTCTCCTGCCTCAGCCTCTCAAGTAGCTGGGATTACAGGCATGCACCACCACACTCAGCTAATTTTGTATTTTCAGTAGAGACAGGGTTTCACCATGTTGGTCAGGCTGGTCTTGAACTCCTGACCTCAGGTGATCCACCCGCCTCGGCCTTCCAAAGTGCTGGGATTACAGGCATGAGCCACCACTCCCGGCCCTAAGCTCATATTTTTTTTCCATTGTGCCATACTGCCTCCTCAATAAAAGTCAAGGAATCTATGAAGACAGTAGGAAAGAATGGGTGGACCTTTATTACCTTACAGAGTAAAAAATGTGGAGAAAGTACTTAGGCAATTTTCAAGGTATATTAACTTTTAGGCCATGAGCTCAATTAGTAAATCCATAATCTGGAATATTAGATCATAATTATCAGCAATATCTATGAAATTCTTTTATAGTCTACATATTATTATTACATTATATGAAGTAACATGAGTATACTCTGTGATCATTAGTGTGTTGAAAAAATTCAGCATACTTTGAAAGTATTTGTCTTATATCCAGGGAGTAGTCTCTTAAGAAGAAGTAAAGTCTAGTCAGGTATTTCAAAAAAAGCTTTTCAATGTTATAAAATTTTACATCCTTCCTATAATATAGAGATTTTATTAACAAAATTTCCCTGGTTCATGGGGACCATACTTGCTGGCATCAGTTTTAATATACATTTAAATTATACCTAACATAGGTATGGTGTGGAAATCTTGTTATTTCATTAATGAATACCAACTGGGTATAAGAAATAAAAAAATTGATGTCTTTAAGGGATGCATGTGCAGATAAATCATTCTGTGATGCTGTTTCCTGTACTAGAAGGAGGCATGGGGGAGGAGAATAAAAAAAAATTTATCTTCTTAGTGTTGACTCTTAATTTTACCCTGTATTTTTACAGCCCCAATCTAAATCAGAGTCCTGCCCAGTTTAAACAGGAAATTACTTAACTGATTGATGCCTGAGTAGCTTCCCTTGCTCTTCTCAGAAAATATTAAAAACAGTGTCAGAAATGAAGTATAGGTACTATCACTGTCATTGGAGAACATTTAGAATCCTTTAGCCAGTGATTCTTCCAGGTGTTGCACAATTTTATTTGTGTGTAAAACAAGGAGACTGCTTCCCTCATAATGTCCTTTGTCAAATTCAGGAAGCTTCTTTCCCATCTAAAGAATCAGAGTGTTAAAATATTTGTACCTTGGAAAGCTTTACAGTTGGCCTTGTTGAATGGATAATCTTTGGGAATTATTTTGGTACCTGAATAACACTAGAAGACTTTATTCTTAGAGCCAGTACTTTTCCTCATTCTTAATTCAAATCAAGTTATAGCTAAAACAAAGATCACTTTTTGCTTTAGATTTAGCAAGAAACAGGTAAAAGGGAATGCATTGGGAAAATCAGGGGCAAAGGATTTATAATAGAAAGAATTCATTTTTTATGGATAATGTTAATATAAATTGTATTTCAAGATGCAGCCTGCATCACTCAGTACTCCAGACCACTCTTATCCTTTACTTTCTCCAGAGCATTTATCAACTTATAATATAACATATAGTTTATTGTGTTTATTGCCTGCCTCCTCTCTACTGGAATGTCATTTGTATGAGAACAGGAATCTTTGTTTTGTTCACTGATATATTCTAAGCACTAAGACCAGAGTCTGGCACATAGTAGGTGTTCAATTGATGTTTGTGGACTGAATGAATATCAAGACCAATCCCACTCCATTCCTCAGATTTTAGTAATTATTACATTGCTATATTATTACATAATAATATTCCAGATAAATATTATATTGCTATATTTCTTATGAAGTAGTTAACAAACAGGTAAAAATAGTGCTCTGCCATCCAGTATGAGAAGATAATTTTATGAACTATGTCTTAAAAATGTCTGAGGTAATTTGGAGTGTTTGAGTATTTAATATATTAAAGTGAAACCAATAGATTTCCTGAGATTCCTCCAGTATTTATTAGGAAATGGAAGATGGAAAGCTTTTCAACTAAAAAGATGTTTTTGATATATCTTTCTTAGATGGGAAAACTGACAACCATGCCTGCAGGTCTGATATATGCATCTGTAAGTGTACATGCAGCCAAACAAGAGGAATCCAAAAAGCAGCTAGTGAAACCAGAGCAGGTAATTTGCCTACAAAGGTTTATGAACTTTGTATAATATCAAGATGACACAAAAGCTATATTTTTTAAAATTATCTTTGCCCATCAAAAATGTCTTAGAAGTCTTTGTTAGGTAGATATTAAAAGTTGAGAGAAATAGTTATGAAGTATCTCAAAAGACAATATGTAACTCAAACATCTAAAATTCTAACTCCAGTGAAAAACAACTAGTGATTTTTCTTAATGAATAATCAATAAGTAGTGGAGGGTGTTAGACGTTCTAGGCAGTCTGATTTTTCTTTCTTGAAAAACTTACACAGGTACATTCAGTATTAGGAAACTTCAGTTTAACAAATTCATTAAGATCTCAGTTTTGGAAGTGACCTTAGATGTTTTCTAGATCAACCTTCTGTATGGTACTGTAATTCCCTCTATAGTAGGCACATTTAGTGGCCATATATCTTCTACATGAATAAAACTCTAGGTAAAGGAGCCTAAGGAGCCCATTCCGTTTTCTAAATCCTCTCATTTAACTTAAGGTCCTTTCTTATATCAGACAGAAATTTGTCTCATAATAACTTCTACCTGTTGGTACTGTATCTCTTGCATTGGTGCCATACAGAAAACTCTCTTTCAAAAAACAAGCCTTTAAATATCAGTTATACTTTAAGTAATTTTGCTTCCAGGATAAACATTTTAAAGCGTTTAGTAGCTTCAACTATTTCTCATACATCACAGCTTTGAGTTCCTCACTATCATGATCAGCCTCTGCCAAGCATGTTCAGGATAGTGTTTTCTTCAGGTGTAAGTAGTTTGTTTTTCTTTTTAAAAAACATTTTGGTTTTTGGTGCCATGACTTGGATGTATGAACCACGGTGTTTTGACTGCTACAGGATAGAGTCAGTCTCTGACTTTTCCTCTTCTAGATGTTATATTTCTATTAATGCTGCCTAAGATCACATTAGTTTTTATATTTGAGTGCTCAAAATCAACCATGCTCATAAGCAGCCTTTGACCATGACATAGTAAGCATGTGGTTCTCTAAAATTCATTAAGCCTTTTTACATGGACTACTGGTAAGGTATGCCTCATCCCAGTCTGTACTTAGGCATTTGAACTTTTTGGACTCTGTTGAAGGTATGTTTATACCTGTTTAAATTTTACCTTGTTGATCTGGCTTATCATGCCAGCCTGTTGAGCTGTAATTGTGGTTACTAATTCTATTCATCATTGTGCTTTTTATCTCTTCCCGCTTTAAGTCAACCTTAAGATTTATCCACACACTTAATAATATGTTTTTGAATCAGGCCTGAATTTGAATCCTGATTCCACGACTGACTAGTTAGATGACATTGGCCAGAATTCTTAATGGTGTCATAAGTATTCTGCTGTATGAATGTACTACCATCAAATAAATGTAAAATTTTCATAAATTTTTGGAAATGTAGACTATTTCCAGCTATTGCTATTGTAATCAGTACTTGTTGAACCACTTTGTATTGAATCTATATATACATCTATAACCATTTCCTTAGAATGAATTTCTATAAGCCGAAGTGTAGGTCAAAAGGCATAAAACATTGATAATATTGCCAAACTAACATGCATAAAGGTAATATTCATAAATTCAACCAAAAATATTTTCTAAGCTCCTCTTATATATTTGTGAGGCACTGTTCTAATTACTAGATAAAGTTTATTTTCATTAATGGTCTGGGGTAGACTCATTTCCCTACCCGCTAACTGATTCTAAGTATTTTTTTATTTTTTCTGTTTATTAATCTTAGGAGGATGTTGATTTTAAGGCTTCCTTGACACTCCCATATCTGGACAGCTCAAATCTAGGTAGGAAGATAAATCCCTAATGGCTGAATTTAATTTTTGAAATTTTAAAATAAAGTAGTGCTGCTTATTATGGAATATGCAGTATTCCTTGGTATTTATTGTATTCCCCAAGTACATTTTAAATATCATTTAATTGAATTACTTATCAAACAAAGTTTGTTGCCAGCTATGTGCTAGGAACTATACACAAAGTCAGGATCTAGTCCTTGAGGAATGTAGAATTTCTGAAGGGATTAAAATGTGATTTATGCGCAACATTTCTAGCTACTTTTATTGTGTAAAGTGAGCTATACTTCTGTTTAAATCTGTAATAACACTTCTACTAAACCAGAATACTTTATGAATGAAGTGTTCTGGTTATTTGGTTGTTTGAATCTTTTGGTAAACTTGCAGCTAAACAGAAAATCTGTTTTAGTTCAACTCTTCTCACTAAACATCTTTTTAAATATTCTCAATATATTCCTGCCTTATATGCCATCTAGTGAACATAATTAAATCTCCCTTTAATAGAAAACTCTGTAGCACCATGAGACAATCATTTTTTTTAACCATGAAATCTGTAGTATTCAGATCAGTAAAATGACTGGCAATTGGAATGCATGTATACAGCCAGCCCTAGACATCCCTGGACATTTCTTTTTAAAATCCCTCTATGAGATGAATTATACTTATTTTCTTGCCATTTGCTTGTTGTCACTGAGAAATAACAGAAAAATACTGATTTGAGAGTTTTAGTTACTTTGGTTCAATTTAATTTTAAATGTGGTTTTATAGCTTACTCAATGTAATCATAATTTCTAAATGAGAACATACAAGTTCTATCTATACAATAAGTGGCATTTAAGCCCCAAGGTCTCTAAAATTTGTAGTGAGAATGCTTTTCTCAATGGAGGCTATAGTAACATGCTACTGGCTAGCTCTTAAAATTCTTAAAGTAGAGCTGAAATCCTATCATCATAAACGTTTCAACTATGCCTATGCCTTAGAAGGAAAATACTTTAAAACACTGGTTCTTAACCATTCTGACCCCTTTGAGAGTCTGATAAAAACTTTGAATGCTCTTCCTAGAAAACTACATATACAAAATTTTGTTTATAATAGGCAACAAACAGATAAAGAACCTGAACCCGTGAGGCGCAGTGCCTCATGCTTGTAATCCCAGCACTTTAGGATGCCAAGGCGGGCGGATTGCTTGAGCTCAAGAATTGGAGACCAGTCTGGGCAACAGGGTGAAACCCCATCTCTACAAAAAAAATACAAAAATTAGCCGGGTTTGTTGGGGGTGTGCCTGTAGTCCCAGCTACTCGGGATGCTGAGGTGAGAGGATTGCTTGAGCCCGGGAGGTTGAGGCTACAGTGAGCTGTGTTCATGCCACTGTACTCTAGACTGGATGACAAAACAAGACCGTCTCAAAAAACAAACAAACAAACAAAAAACAACTTAATCAGCAGGTTTTGATGGGGACAGAGGAGAGAGAATAAGAACAATGAGTGTAATAAAGTTTGGAATTGGGATGTGTAAATAATAAAGAGGATAGAAACATGATGGACAAACATGTAAGTAAATAACGTTGCCCACTCTGACACCAGTACATCCACATATACCTCTCCTTTCTAGGGGAGAGAGGAAACTTGCCTATTTGCAGTGCACCTGCTTTTTATATATAAAACGCATCTTTAATAAGATATGCATCTCTCACCTTCCTAATTATACATAGTTGCCAATGTGGTGAATTTAAGCATTAGTCCAGAAAGATAAAACACTAACTCTTTAATCCTGGTATGGGTAGTAAAGAGTCATTTAATGGTAAAACAAGACTTTTCTGACTTACTACTGGAAAAGCTTTACCAAACTCACACTGTCTTATGTTTTATTTATTTTTTAACTTTAGATAAAAAAACTGACATAAAATTGTATGCATTTACCTTGTACAGCATGATGCTTTGAAGTATATATACATTGTGGAATGACTAAATCTGTCTAATTTACATATGTATTACCTTGAATAGTTATCATTTTTGTGTTGAGGACATTTTATACCCACTCTTAGCATTTTTCAAGAAAACAATATAGTGTTAACTATAGTTTCATGTTTGTTGTTGGTAGAGGAGCAAATCCAAAGTCATTAATCATCTAGTTCCCTTGATGTTGATTTGTAAACTTGATTCTTCCCAGTTCTATCTTCCTCAAACACCAGGCTTCATAGGAGGATTTATACCCTAAATATAAAAGCAAAAAAAAAAAAAAAATTTTTTTTTAAAGGAAGTAAGTCCCTACCTGGTTAAGTTTTTCATTGTTCTTTTGTGTATGTTTGTTTTTATTAAATACTAATTAGAATCAAAAGGCTGTTCAAAATATGAAAGGTATGAATAATAATATGATGATGATAATGATGTACAACCGTATACCTAGCACCCAATTTAAAGGAAAACAAAATCCTCTGTGTTTCCATTTCATTCCATTCAGAGGTTACCATTACCCTGAATTTTTACTATTATTCCCCTCCTTTACTTTTTAATTTTACCTTATATGTCTGTATTGCTAAGCAATGTTTTTTTTAAGTAACCTTATATTCCTGAAATTCATCCAAATTTTTCCATGTTGCTGTAATTTTTATATTTACCCCCTAATTTCTAATATTTCTTTGTACGAATATACCCCAAAGGATCCATTTTACTGTGGATGGACATTGGGTTGGTTGTAATTAAAATGTTGCTGTGAACGTTATTATACTAACTCTGGGTGTGCAAAGACAGTAGTTTCTCTAAATATACATAGGAGTAGAACCATTGGATTATATTATATTTGGCATCTTTTAATTTCTGGGTTTTAAACGGTCTTTATAAACAGTTTACCACATCATTCCTGTATTTAAGATGGTTTTTTAAAAGTATTTTATCAGCATTTTTAGTTGTTTTTAGAAAGAAGGCTGATGAGGATTCCTGTTCTGCCATACCGCTGTTATGGACAGTCCAGCTATTTTATGTTTTTGACATGAACATTTTTTGCCTGTAGCTCCCCATATATACTGCACCACCGCTCCAGTCTAAATATGTTGAAGAGCAGCCTGGTCATTTACAAATGGGCTTTGCTTCCATCCGCACTGCAACTGGTTGTTACATTGGCTGGTGCAAGGTAAGTCAATTCTGATAGTGGTTTAATATCAGAGATTTCTGATTAATTGTTCCAGTTACCTACTGATGTGTAGAAAACTAATCCAAAACTTAATGGCTTAAAACCACAACCATTATATTACATCTTATGATTTTGTAAGTCATGAATTTGATCTGAGTTCAGACAGGTGATTTGTCTGTTGCATGTGGCATTGACAGAGGTGGCCCAGTGGGGTTCATCTGGCAAATGAGCTGATCTAGACAGTCCAAGACAGCTTTATTTGCATCTCTGGCACCTTGTTAAGGATGGCTGGATGACTGGGTTCAGCTGGGATTATTGACTAGAACACCTACACGTGGCCTCTCAAGCATGGTGATCTCAAATAGGTCAGATATAACTTACTTGGGTAATTCAGGGCTCCTAAAGACAATGTTACAAGTGGCCCTAGGCAGAATTTGCCAGGCTTTTTGCCTATCATCAGATATCCAAGAAAGTCACTTCTACAGCATTCTATTGTTAAGTCACTAAGGCCAGCTCAGTTTTAAAGGGAAGGGAATTAGATGCCAACTCTCAGTAGAAGTAGCAGCAAATAATTTGTGGCTATATTGAACCTACTCTACCACTACTGCATAGATTAAAGTAGTTCAGCAAGGATTTATGTCACCTAGCATGTACACAGTGTCACTCACTTTTTATGTGAAGTTCTGAGATTACTTCTGAATATTTTCTTCTTTGGCTAAGTAAAGTGTTATTTACTTGTTGGCGTTAGCTCATAAGACCATTCTAACTACAGTAAGCTATTGGGCAAAGTAGAATACACGTGACTTTAATGCTTAGCCTTCAATCAGCAATATCCATCAGCAGAGTGGTGGAGTAAGCTGATGCAACACTAATGTTTCATTATCATCACATAAACATCATTGTGTTAGCATCTCCAGTGTCAGTATCTTAATGTTGGTACCAGTGTTTTCATCATTCTAACCTAGTAACCATGCGACTTTTCCCCAAATATAGCCTGATGGTGAATCATTGTTCTTTTTAGTTTCTATCCATTATCTTTAAAAAGAAATCTAATGAACTTATGAAAAATAATTTGTGCTTAGGTGAAATACCAAATCAATGAACTCTGGTAATTCCAGATAATATTTCAAATATCTGATAAGTACATGATGTTATTTTTGAAAACTTGTGTTTGTCATACAATTCTTATGGTACTAGTTGTACTACACACTATTAATAGTTTGATCTAAGAGGGAAATACCTTAACCAATTATGGTCTGAATCATGCCCCTATGACTATGTGCCAATAGCTAGATGATTCAGACTTAAGCCTCCTGAGATGTAATTTTCCATAATGTTCTGAAATTTTTCTTCAGTGAGATAAAATGTTCCTGAGAGGTCTTTAAATTGCTATTGTAACTGTCATCCAATTTAAGATTCAAAAGAATGTTTTATTCCATTAATATGCTCAAACAAATAGGTTGAAGAAAGGCAATTTCCAGTGCATTTTGTCCTAAATGTAAACAATTTTTTTTCCTAATTTTCCCCTAAAAATGTAATCCATTCTTTAAAAATTATGTCTGACTCAAATTCGTTCCACATTAAAGCTTGAATCATGTAGAGCAAATTCAATTTCTACTCCTGCTAGCTTAGTGTTTTGAAATTTAGGTAGCACTGACCCCATGTGGTAAAAATGAATTCCTTAGCAGAGCTAAGAAAAATTTTTTTTGAAAGATGACTAATTTTCTTCCTTAATGGTTAAATGATTCCCAATCGACTGGTCAATAGGTATTTTAACTTTGAAGGTGAAATATTCTCAAGACAGTCCCTACAGAAAAGTAGTTCAATAGCAGTTAGCGTTTATGCTGATTTGTACAATTTTAAACCAAGATGAACCTCTGCATCTCTCTGATAACCATTAAAATATGTAAGACAAAATTACAAAACCAAGCTATCTCTATAACAAAAACTTATTTCTTCCCTGTCCAATATAATAATATCTGTTTTCTCTGCTTTGAAAGTCTCTTTTGTTCTTGTTTTTATCCCATGGTTTCATAGCAGCTAGTTCAGAGAAGGATTGTGTTTTCTGGTTCCATCAACAGAGTACAATATGACCACGAGTAAATCATTTTGTGACTTCCTTTTTTTTCTTATCTAAGTGAGGTAATACCTAGCACTCAATAAATATATTTAACACTCTTTTGCACTAAAATAAATCAGTTAGAAACAGGTAAAGTTAAAGATTTGCTTTAAAACTTTAATTCCTCTGATGTATTAACATAGTTTTGATTTCTAGAGAATTTATGTTCCGATTTAAAAACAGGATAAACACTGGTCTATGTAGGATGATTTCTGTCCTGAGGTAATTTAGATTTTTTTCTCATTCTAATGCACACTAAGAAAAGGGAGGAAGATGAAGCCCTTTGCTTTAGGCTTTTTGCTCTTTTTTTCCCTCCACAAATCATTATGTTGTTGCTATTGCAACTTTATTAATCAGATGTTGCTTCTAAACTGAAATATACCTCCCTTCTTCTTTATTTAAATTCCATTTATTTTTCTAGGTCATTATAAAATAAGATGATAAATATTTTTTTCAGTATCATTTCTGCTCTGATTATTTCATAGGCACATTATCCATTTATATGAGAAAAATGATATAAATGTTATCCATGTTAAATAGAATGAAAAGCAGGAAATGAAAACAAGCTGGTAGTGAATACATAGGAAAGCTGGATTTAGATTTGGGCATAATGTTAAGTCAACCTTTTAATATAATCTCAGAGATGCAGGCAATTTTATCTCATTATCAACAGCTTCAAAAATGCAGATGTCTTCCCCCCCTTTTTTTTTGCTTAGGGTGTTTATGTCTTTGTGAAAAATGGGATAATGGATACAGTACAATTTGGAAAAGGTAGGTGAGTAGATAATTAGAAATGTTTTATTGTGTTTTTAAATTGCATTGTTTAAATGTGAGAAAAATAAACTTGGTATGTTACCCATTATCATGCATTTACCAACTCAGAAGGTACTCTCTATAGCAATTTATTGATTAATTTATTGATTATTTGTTGATTATTGATTAATAGCAAAGCAGTAATATTCATTATTCAGCAGTTATTATTGGCTAAGGTGTTGTACTTAGCATTTTACATAATTTTTGTCACAATTATGTTAGTATTGGTATTATAATTATTCCCATTTTACAGATGAGGGCAACTGAGGTTTAGGAAGGTTAAGTAGGTTATCGAGCTTACGTAACTGTAAGTGGTAGTGCCAGGATACAAACTGAGGTCTGTTTTAACTACAAAGTCTATATTATATATCATAAAGCATAAATTAAAAACATGTCTCCATTGTTGCTAATTAGTTTAAGTGCTACTTGCTGTTAAAATACATTGTATTTTGCTGTCAATTGCTAGGAAATGTTATAGCAATCACTAACCCTGGAATATTTAAGCTAATGGTTAAAAAGCAATTATACTTGACTCTTTAGCTTGTTAATGGTGTTTGGCAACAGATATAGCTTTGTAATATTCTTGGCTTATGCCAGTTGTCATAATAAATATGTATAGGAGATAGAAAGATGAGCTAAAATGTTGAATGTTTCCATGAAGTTGATGACCTGTATTTGAATTGTCATTATTTAATGTATTAGGAATAAATTCAAAATTATATTCCTCATCAATCATGAGGAATAGGATTAAATATGTGATTGCCATTAAATAATTAACTATGATAGAAAAGTGTACTTTTGGAACCAGAAACAAATTCAACATATAGAAAGCCAAGAACTACTCTTCATCTACTTTTTGTCTAGGCTCACTGATGATTGACTTTAACCAACAGCAGTGGCTGTCCTGAGGTTATTAGGGAGTAGTGGCAAGCAAGGTCTAGTAGCTGTGTATATCCTTAAACTATTATTCAAAACTCCTTAATAAAGTATCTATTTCATTTCTTATTGGAGGCTACCAGTGTTTGAACAGATAAGGGCAGAAGTTCATCATAGAGATATAATACATACGCAGTCAGAAATTTACCTTATAGTAACCCATATTAAGATGTGCCCTCTAGCATTACATTTCTTTATAGTAATAACCGTCAGTATCATTAGGAAAAGAAATATTAAATCAGCTACGGAAGGAAAATTTTATTTTGTAACAAGTAAATATATCTAGTTTTTTAGCTTGCTACTCATATTGTCATTATATGTAGCTCTTTTGAAGAATATTTAAACCTCATTATTATCTTAGCAAATCTCTTTAACCTTCCTGCATTATAACTGTATAGAATATCCAGTAGAATTCAGTTATTCATGTTAATTTTTAACTGATTTCTTGAGATGCTTATGTCTATCTGAAGAATCCTCCTCGAGATTTTCTTCCGAAAATGGGAGTTATTACAGTTTCAGGATTGGCGGGCTTGGTTTCAGCGAGAAAAGGTAGGGTTTTAAAAAATATATTCTCTCTTAATGCCATGATATTAGTTTCTGAATTTTGTGGTCATGAGAAAACCTCATATGCTTTATTGAATATTATCTGGATAGGCTACTGTAAAGATTTTTAGATTCTGTATTACAGCATGCTTACTTTTATAAGGACTTTGTGTTTTCAAAACTATAGCTATTCCAAAGGCTGTTCAACGTCATTAGTCATTAGGGAAATGCAGATGAAAACTAGAATGAGATACCATGTCAGTCCCAACAACATTCTTTAGGATGAGACCAAGAGAAAATCAAATTTTGTCTCATATATCAGTATCTCTGTCTCAAATCTTTAAAGTAGCTGCCAGAATATGGGGGTCATGACTGAGAAAAGTAGTTTGAGTGATTAGTATATATTTTTACATTAAGATAAAACTCTCAAGAAATTTTTTCAGTAGTTAGTGACTCTTAAGATCTTAAAAAAAAGTTACCTAGAAAACAAAATGACAAATTATAATTTTAATAGAAATAGCTATATGTTTAAAAAAATTTTTGGCCGGGCACAGTGGCTCACGCCTATAATCCCAGCACTTTGGGAGGCTGAGGTGGGTGGATCACCTGAGGTCGGGAGTTTGAGACCAGCCTGACCAACATGGAGAAACCCTGTCTCTACTAAAAATACAAAATTAGCCGGGCTTGGTGGCACATGCCTGTAATCCCAGCTACTCGGGAGGCTGAGGCAGGAGAATCACTTGAACCCGGGAGGCAGAGGTTGTGATGAGCCAAGATCATGCCATTACACTTCAGCCTGGGCAACAAGAGCGAAACTCCATCTCAAAAAAAAAATATTTTAAAATTATCACACAGTAAATTCATACAATTCTATCAGTTTTAATATATACATAGAGTCATGTAACCATCACCACAACCAGGATACAGAACAGTTATATCATTCCCAAAAAGTACCTCATGCTGTCTGTCTGCAGTCAGACCTTCTTCCCACTTCTAACTCCCAGAAACACTGATCTGTTCTCTGTCACTATAGCTCTGTCTTTTTGAGAATGCCATCTAAATGGAATCATACATAGACTGGCTTCTTTCACTTAGATTATCAAGATTGTTGCATGTGTCAATAGCTTGTTCCTTTTTGTTACTAAGTAGTATTCCTTCATATGGATGTGCCACGGTTTACTTTATCACTTAACCTGTTGGACATTTGGGTTGTTTCCAGCTTTTGGTGATTAGGAATAGAGCTACTATGAAAATTTATATACAGATTTTTCATTTCTCCAAGCCCTTACTAAGCTGGTGTAGTTCTGTAGTCACTAGCCATTTTGGTCACCTTTCATCCATCCTTTGTCCACATTCCAGTTGCCAGACATTGTCCCCAAACTAAATTACTTATATTGGAAGGCACAGCTCTGAGCCGGTCTGGAATCTGATGTCAGGTACTTTGTAGTTTGTTTTTCCAGCTATAGTCCTAAAAGCCTCAAATCAAGGCATAATTAGGTACAAAACTGCTGTGCAATTATAAGAACATTCTAGTATCCTAACTCATATATATATATAAAACATATATATAATATAGATATATAACATATATATAATATATATATATGAGAGGATGCTAGAATGTTCTTATTGTGTATATATATATATCTCATCTGAATGGATGATATATATATATGTCATCTGAATGGATGATATACATATATCTCATCTGAATGGATGATATATATCTCATCTGAATGGATGATATATATATCTCATCTGAATGGATGATATATATATATATCTCCCTATAGCTAATATTAATGCTTCCCTATATCCTATTTCTTATTATAGTAGGTAAGCAACTTCTAATTGAATAAGTATTATAAATTATTCAGTAAGAAATAATTACAAACCAAGATCACCATATAAAACAATAAGACTCAAAGAATTAAATTTTGAAGGAAATTGTCCAAAACATATTACTCAATTTCTCAGTAAAAAACTTATACCATTCTTGTAAGAGAAAATGTTCCTTAGGTCATTCACCGTGTTTTCAAATGTCAGAGCTAGAATAATCTAAGCCAGTGTTTTTCAAATTGGAGATCTTAACCTATTAGTAGGTAGTGACATAAATATAATGAATCTCAGGAGACATTTTACCTTTTTTTAAAAAATTATATTTTAAGTTCCAGGGTACATGTACAGCATGTTTAGATTTGTTACATAGGTAAATGTGTGCCATGATGGTTTTGTGCACCTATCAACTCATCACCTAGGTATAAGCCCAACATGCATCAGCTATTTTTCCTGATGTTCTTCCGCCCCCACCCTCCCACAACAGGCCCCAGTGTGTGTTGTTCCCCTCCCTGTGTCCATGTCTTCTCATTGTTGAGCTCCCACTTATAAGTGAGAATGTGCAGTGTTTGGTTTTCTGTTCCTGTGTTGGTTTGCTGAGGATAATGGCTTTCCAGCTTCATCCATGTCCCTGCAAAGGACATGATCTCATTCCTTTTTATGGCTACATAGTATTCCATGGTGTATATGTACCACATTTTCTTTATCCAGTCTATCATTGATGGACATTTGGGTTGATTTCAAGTCTTTGCTATTGTGAATAGTGCTGCAATGAACATATGCACGCATGTATCTTTATAATAGAATGATTTATGTTCCTTTGGGTATATACCTAGTAATGGGATTGCTGGGTCAAATGGTATTTCCGGTTCTAAATCTTTGAGGAATCGCCACATTATCTTCCACAATGGTTGAACTAATTTACATCCCCACCAACAGTGTAAAAGTGTTCGTTTCTCTCCACAACTTCACCAACATCTGTTATTTTATGACTTTAGTAATAGCCGTTCTGACTGGTGTGAGAGATTATCTCATTGTGGTTTTGATTTGCATTTCTCTGATGATCAGTGATGTTGAGCTTTTTTTCATGTTTATTGGCCACATGTATGTCTTCTTTTTTTTAATTTTATTATTATTATACTTTAAGTTTTAGGATACATGTGCACAACGTGCAGGTTTGTTACATATGTATACATGTGCCATGTTGGTGTGCTGCACCCATTAACTCGTCATTTAGCATTAGCTATATCTCCTAATGCTATCCCTCCCCCCGCCCCCCACCCCACAACAGTCCCCAGAGTTTGATGTTCCCCTTCCTGTGTCCATGTGTTCTCATTGTTCAATTCCCACCTATGAGTGAGAACATGCGGTGTTTGGTTTTTTGTCCTTGTGATAGTTTGCTGAGAATGACGGTTTCCAGTTTCATCCATGTCCCTACAAAGGACATGAACTCATCATTTTTTATGGCTGCATATTATTCCATGGTATGTATGTGCCACATTTTCTTAATCCAGTCTATCGTTGTTGGACATTTAGGTTGGTTCCAAGTCTTTGCTATTGTGAATAGTGCCGCAATAAACATACGTGTGCATGTGTCTTTATAGCAGCATGATTTATAATCCTTTGGGTATATACCCAGTAATGGGATGGCTGGGTCAAATGGTATTTCTAGTTCTGTATCCCTGAGGAATCGCCACACTGACTTCCACAATCGTTGAACTAGTTTACAGTCCCACCAACAGTGTAAAAGTGTTCCTATTTCTCCACATCCTCTCCAGCACCTGTTGTTTCCTGACTTTTTAATGATTGCCATTCTAACTGGTGTGAGATGGTATCTCATCGTGGTTTTGATTTGCATTTCTCTGATGGCCAGTGATGATGAGCATTTTTTCATGTGTTTTTTGGCTGCATAAATGTCTTCTTTTGAGAAGTGTCTGTTCATATCCTTTGCCCACTTTTTGATGGGGTTGTTTGTTTTTTTCTTGTAAATTTGTTTGAGTTCATTGTAGAGTCTGGATATTAGCCCTTTGTCAGATGAGTAGGTTACAAAATTTTCTCCCATTCTGTAGGTTGCCTGTTCACTTTGATGGTAGTTTCTTTTGCTGTGCAGAAGCTCTTTAGTTTAATTAGATCCCATTTGTCAATTTTGGCTTTTGTTGCCATTGCTTTTGGTGTTTGAGACATGAAGTCCTTGCCCATGCCTATGTCCTGAATGGTATTGCCTAGGTTTTCTTCTAGGGTTTTTATGGTTTTAGGTCTAACATTTAAGTCTTTAATCCATCTTGAATTAATTTTTGTATAAGGTGTAAGAAAGGGATCCAGTTTCAGCTTTCTACATATGACTAGCCAGTTTTCCCAGCACCATTTATTAAATAGGGAATCCTTTCCCCATTGCTTGTTTTTCTCAGGTTTGTCAAAGATCAGATAGTTGTAGATATGTGGCATTATTTCTGAGGGCTCTGTTCTGTTCCATTGATCTATATCTCTGTTTTGGTACCAGTACCATGCTGTTTTGGTTACTGTAGCCTTGTAGTATAGTTTGAAGTCAGGTAGCGTGATGCCTCCAGCTTTGTTCTTTTGGCTTAGGATTGACTTGGCGATGCGGGCTCTTTTTTGGTTCCATATGAACTTTAAAGTAGTTTTTTTCCAATTCTGTGAAGAAAGTCATTGGTAGCTTGATGGGGATGGCATTGAATCTATAAACTACCTTGGGCAGTATGGCCATTTTCATGATATTGACTCTTCCTACCCATGAGCATGGAATGTTCTTCCATTTGTTTGTATCCTCTTTTATTTCATTGAGCAGTGGTTTGTAGTTTTCCTTGAAGAGGTCCTTCACATCCCTTGTAAGTTGGATTCCTAGGTATTTTATTCTCTTTGTAGCAACTGTGAATGGGAGTTCACTCATGATTTGGCTCTCTGTTTGTCTGTTATTGGTGTATAAGAATGCTTGTGATTTTTGTACATTGATTTTTCTATCCTGAGACTTTGCTGAAGTTGCGTATCAGCTTTAGGAGATTTTGGGCTGAGACGATGGGGTTTTCTAGATATACAATCATGTCATCTGTGAACAGGGACAATTTGACTTCCTCTTTTCCTAATTGAATACCCTTTATTTCCTTCTCCTGCCTGATTGCCCTGGCCGGAACTTCCAACACTGTGTTGAACAGGAGTGGTGAGAGGGGGCTTCCCTGTCTTGTGCCAGTTTTCAAAGGGAATGCTTCCAGTTTTTGCCCATTCAGTATGATACTGGCTGTGGGTTTGTCATAGATAGCTCTTATTATTTTGAGATACGTCCCATCAATACCTAATTTATTGAGAGTTTTTAGCATGAAGATTTGTTGAATTTTGTCAAAGGCCTTTTCTGCATCTATTGAGATAATCATGTGGTTTTTGTCTTTGGTTCTGTTTGTATGCCGGATTACATTTATTGATTTGGGTATGTTGAACCAGCCTTGCATCCCAGGGATGAAGCCCACTTGATCATGGTGGGTAAGCATTTTGATGTGCTGCTGGATTTGGTTTGCCAGTATTTTATTGAGGATTTTTGCATCAATGTTCATCAAGGATATTGGTCTAAAATTCTTGTTTTCCATTGTGTCTCTGCCCGGCTTTGGTATCAGGATGATGCTGGCCTCAGAAAATGAGTTAGGGAGGACTCCCTCTTTTTCTATTGATCGGAATAGTTTCAGAAGGAATGGTACCAGCTCCTCTTTGTACCTCTGGTAGAATTCGGCTGTGAATCCATCTGGTCCTGTACTTTTTTTGGTTGGTAGGCTATTGATTATTGCCTCAATTTCAGAGCCTATTATTGGTCTATTCAGAGATTCAGCTTCTTCCTGGTTTAGTCTTGGGAAGATGTATGGGTCGAGGAATTTATCCATTTCTCCTAGATTTTCTAGTTTATTTGCATAGAGGTGTTTATAGTATTCTCTGATGGTAGTTTGTATTTCTGTGGGATTGGTGGTGATATCCCCTTTATCATTTTTTATTGTGTCTATTTGATTCTTCTCTCTTTTCTTCTTTATTAGTCTTGCTAGCGGTCTATCAATTTTGTTGATCTTTTCAAAAAACCAGCTCCCGGATTCATTGATTTTTTGAAGGGTTTTTTGTATCTATTTCCTTCAGTTCTGCTCTGATCTTAGTTATTTCGTGCCTTCTGCTAGCTTTTGAATGTGTTTGCTCTTGCTTTTCTAGTTCTTTTAATTGTGATGTTAAGATGTCAATTTTAGATCTTTCCTGCTTTCTCTTGTGGGCATTTAGTACTATAAATTTCCATCTACACACTGCTTTGAATGTGTCCCAGAGATTCTGGTATGTTGTGTCTTTGTTCTCGTTGGTTTCAAAGAACATCTTTATTTCTGCCTTCATTTCATTATTTACCCAGTAATCATTCAGGAGCAGGTCTTCTTTTGAGAAGTGTTTGTTCATGTCCTTTGCCTATTTTTAAATGGGGTTCTTAGTTTTTTTTCTTATAAATCTGCTTAAATTCCTTGTAGATTCTGGATATTAGACCTTTGTCAGATGGATAGATTGCAAAAATTTTCTCCCATTCTGTACGTTGTCTGTTCACTCTGATGATGGTTCCTTTTGCTATGCAGAAGCTCTTTAGTTTAATTAGATCTCATTTGTCAATTTTTGCTTTTGTTGTGATTGGTTTTGGTGATTTCATGATAAAATCTTTGCCCATGCCTATGTCTGAATGGTATTGCCTATATTTTCTTCTAGGGTTTTTATAGTTTTGGGTTTTACATTTAAGTCATTAATCCATCATGAGTTACTTTTTGTATAAGGTGTAAGGAAGGGATCAAATTTCAGTTTTCCTGCATATGGCTAGCCAGTTTTCCCAGCACCATTTATTAAATAGTGAATCCTTTCCCCATTGCTTGTTTTTGTCAGGTTTGTCAAAGATCAGATGGTTGTAGATGTGCGGTTTTAGTTCTCTATTCTGCTCCATTGGTCTGTGTGCCCGTTTTTGTACCAATACCTTGCTGTTTTGGCTACTGTAGCCTTGTGGTATAGTTTGAAGTCAGGTAGCATGATGGCTCCAACTTTGTTCTTTTTTGCTTAGGGTTGTCCTGGCTATATGAGCTCTTTGTTGGTTCCATGTGAATTTTAAAATAGTTTTTTCTAATTCTGTGAAGAATGTCAATGATAACTGAATGGGAATAGCATTGAATCTTTAAATTCCATTGGGCAACATGGCCATTTTCACGATATTGTTTCTTCCTATCCATGAGCATGGAAAGTTTTTCCATTTGTTTGTGTCTTCTCTGATTTCCTCGAGCAATGGTTTGTAGTTCTCCTTGAAGAAGTCCGTAACTTCCCGTTAGCTGTATTCCTAGGTATTTTATTCTTTTGTGGCAATTGTGAATGGGAGTTCATTTATGATTTGGCTCTCTGCTTGCCTGTTGTTGGTGTATAGAAATGCTAGCAAATTTTGCACTTTGATTTTTGTATCTTGAGGCTTAGCTGAAGTTGCTTATCAGCTTAAGAAGCTTTTGGGCTGAGTTGAGGGGGTTTTCTAGATATAGGGATCATATCATCGGCAAACAAAGACTATTTGACTTCCTCTCTTGCTCTTTCAATACCCTTTATTTTTTTTATCTTGCCTAATTGCCCTGGCAAGAACTTCCAATACTATGTTTAATAAGAGTGGTGAGAGAGGGCATCCTTGTCTTGTGCCAGTTTTCAAGAGGAATGCTTCCAGCCTTTGCCCATTCATTATGATATTGGCTGTGGGTTTGTCATAAATGGCTCTTATTATTTTGAGACATGTTCCTTCGATACCTAGTTTATTGAGAGTTTTTAACATGAAGGGATGTTGAATTTTATCAAAGGCCTTTTCTGCGTCTATTCAGATAATCATGTGGTTTTTGTCTTTAGTTCTTTTTACGTGATGAATTACATTTATTGATTTTGCATATGTTGAACCAGCCTTTCATCCCAGGGATGAAGCCAACTTGATCATGGTGGATAAGATTTTTGATGTGCTTCTGGATTTGGTTTGCCAGTATTTTACTGAGGATTTTTGCATCGATGTTCATCAGGAATATTGGCCTGAAGTTTTCTTTTCTTTTCTTTTTTTGTTGTATCTCTGCCAGGCTTTGGTATCAGGATGATGCTGGCCTCATACAATGAGTTAGGGAGGAGTCACTCCTTTTCAGTTGTTTGGAGTAGTTTCAGAAGAAATGGTACCAGCTCCTCTTTCTATCTCTGGTAGAATTCAGCTGTAAATGCATCTGGTCCTGAGCTTTTTTTGGATAGTAGGCTATTCATTACTGCCTCAATTTCAGAATGTTTTTCTGGCCTATTCAGGGATTCAACTTCTTCCTGGTTCAGTCTTGGGAGGGTGTATGTGTCCAGAAATTTATTCATTTTTAGATTCTATAGTATATTTGCATAGAAGTGTTTATAGTATTCTCTGATGGTGTTTTGTATTTCTATGGGATCAGTCATGGTATCTTCCTTATCATTTCAGATTGTGTTTATTTGAATCTTCTCTCTTTTTTTCTTTATTAGTGTAGCTAGCAGTCTATTTTATTGTTGTTGTTTTTTGTTTTTTTCAAAAAAACAGCTCCTGGATTTTTTTTTTTTTTTTGAGGGGATTTTTGTGCCTTTGTCACCTTCAGCTCTGAAGCTTGGTTATTTCTTGTCTTCTGCTAGGTCTGCGGTTTGTTGGCTCTTGGTTCTCTAGTTATTTTAGTTGTCATGTTAGGATGTCAATGTGAGATCTTTCTAGCTTTTCGATGTGGGCATTTAGTGCTATAAATTTCCCTCTTAACGCCACTTTAGCTGTGTCGCAGAGATTCTGGCATGTTGTCTCTTTGTTCTCATTAGTTTCAAAGAACATCTTGATCTCTGCCTTAATTTCATTATTTACCCAGAAGTCATTCAAGAACAGCTTGTACAATTTCCATGTAGTCATGTGGTTTTGAGTGAATTTCTTAATCTTGAGTTTAATTTGGTTGTGCTGTGGTCTGAGAGACTATTATGATTTCAGTTTTTTTACATTTGCTGAGGAGTGTTTTCCTTCCAATTATGTGATCAATTTTAGAGTAAGTGCCACATGGCACTGAGAAAAATGTATATTCTGGTTTTTTTTGGAGGGGTGGAGAGTTCTATAGATATCTATCAGGTCCACTTGATCTAGAGCTGAGTTCAAGTCTGAGTATCTTTGGTAATTTTCTGTCTTGATGATCTTTCTGATATTGACAGTGGGATATTAAAGTCTCCCACTATTATTATGTGGAGGTGTGTGTCTCTTGGTAGGTCTTTAGTACTTGCTTTATGAATCTGGGTGTTCCTGTATTGAGTACATATATATTTAGGATAGTTAGCTCTTCTTGTTGAATTGAGCCCTTTACCATTATGTAATGACCTTCTTTGTGTTTTTTGACATCTGTTGGTTTAAAGTCTATTTTGTCAGACACTAGGATTGCAACCTCTGTTTTTTTCTGCTTTCCATTTGCTTGGTAAATTTTCCTCCATCCCTTTATTTTGAGCCTATGTGTGTCTTTGCACATGCGATGTGTCTCTTGAATACAGCACACCAATGGGTCTTGTCTTTTTGTCCAGCTTACCATCCTGTGTCTTTAATTAGGGCATTTAGTCCATTTTCATTTAAGGTTAATATTGTTATGTGTGAATTTGATCCTGTCATAATGATGCTGGCTAGTTAATTTGCAGACTTGTTAATGTAGTTGCTTCATAGTGTCATTGGTCTGTGTACTTTGGTGTGTTTTTGTAGTGGCTGGTAATGGTTTTTCCTTTCCATGTTTAGTGCACAGCGCAGGCGTGGTGGTGATGAAATCCCTCAGTATTTGCTTGTCAGGATGCATTTTGTTTAAAAATAGAGGAGAATAGCAAGTATCAGAGTAGTTTGTTCTTGCAGACTGGCCTTTCTTATCAGGTAAAGAGAGGATGACTATAAGTCTTTCTAATCTTTAAAATGACACATAAGGAAAAACTGCCACCTACTATGTTTAGGAGCAGCACAATTAGGGGAATTTGGTTAAGTCAAGGGAACTTACCTCAAGAGATACTAGGATTATAAAATAAGAAATTTAACTGTAGATAATGGAATAATAGCAAGCAGGGCTAGAGTAAAGGAGCAACTTAGGACATTTTAATATACTTAAACCCTCTTTCTGCATACCACAAAAGTCTAAATCTAAAGAAAAGCTAAACTAGTTTGAATCAGCCTGGCCACCCACCACCCGCCACCTCAGTCCATTCTAGACATGACTATAGAAAGCTCTCTTAATAATAGTTAAACCAGACCGAGATAGACCTCTTGTTTTTCCCTTCCCTAAACTGCAAATTTGCCTGCAAACATTCATTTTCATTTGTATAATATACCAGATAGGCTGTTCCCTTTTTAGATTAGGGATTGTATAAGCTGCTTCAGATCATAAAAGTACTTATCCCAATTAAAAAACCCATCATCCAGTTACCTGGATCATATATACAGTATAAGATACTCAGACAAGCGTTTAACTTACATATTATTTTGAACCAACAATCTGTTGGAACTAAGCTATGGCTTAAAGTGGTGGATTTCAAACTATTCTGTAGAACCCTTAGTTTCATGGAAGTGTTTAGTGGTGCTATCAGGATAAAGGAAAAGCCACACAGCTAGGGTTTGATACAGAGCTTCCCACCCCCAAGTTAGAGCAGCATCAAGTTTATAGGTTTTATATATTGAAGTTCCTAGGGAGATTCTATTTGAAAGATATTTTGAAAGGATTTTGTTATCAAAAAAAGATACGAAAATAACTCTTAAATGATGCATAGTTAAGGCACTTATTGATATGCATTACTTATGTCAGGTTACTTGCAATTATTATTCAGTATTCTAAGTCAGTGACATGAAGGAGTTATGTACCTGTTAAAGTCCTTAGTTGATGATTTAGTTGAGTCATTCACCTTTCCAAATACTTAATCAAAAAAGGACATGTAAGAGAGAGTCCATTTCACTTTTACATGGTGTCACACAGTAGTTAACTAATTATCTATATTATCATGCTTTATTAGATACTTGCAAAATTGTGGTTATAAATTTGGGTTTCGTAGGACATGAAAAATACCTAGCTTTCAAGCAGAAGAAAATCATCAATTCCTTTTGTGTAGGTAATTGTGAGTATTAGATTGAGAATACTTTTGTTAAATTGGACATGACAGCTAAGGGGCTATTGGCTTGAGATCCTTAAGGGCATTTTAGCTTCCATCTTGATTGGTATAATTACCTAAAAAGTAATTTAACAGAGGGTGATGGCTTACCAGGAGAGCAAAGAAAGCATTACGGTATAAGAACATCAAGTCTCTGGTGGTATATATTTGGAGTTTAATAATATATTTGCATTTTATAGGTTCCAAGTTTAAGAAAATTACTTATCCTCTGGGACTGGCCACTTTAGGAGCAACTGTTTGCTACCCAGTTCAGTCCGTAATAATTGCTAAGGTAAGTTCTTTTTAAATAATAGCAACATTTCAGTATTTGTTTAAACTCTCAATGTGACAATATTTAAATGTTACACAGCACCTGCAACATTTAATTTTAAGAGACATAGTTGGTATCAACTCTTATGTTGGCCAAATCACATTAGCATCTCAGTATGGTAAATGCCATTGTTAATAAGATGAATTTGTGTAAATATAATTCAACAATGTAAAGGCAGATTTGAGGATTACGTTCAGAGACACTGAATTAGAATTTATGGGGAGAAATACTGCTCCATTGTTGAGATATATAAACTTCAATTTTTATTTAAAAGAAGATTAAAATGCTAGCAGCTGTTTGGTTCAGCAGATTAACCTGACATAAGAAACAACCAGTTGATAGATTGGTTTCAGTGGTTTCTGAAGGTAAAACACACACACACACACACACACACACACACACACACACACGCACAGGAACTCAATATGGAAACCACTTAGAATTAAGAAACACCTGTATAAATGCTTGTTATAGTTCTGTCTTTTTCTTGTGAGCTTAAGTACAAATCCAGATTCTCTTAATGATTTGAACAGTTTTTTTCAGTGTTTTATTTTTAACACATGTTCAGATGGAGAAGGAAAACTTTGGGTTATGCATTTTTTCCCCTCTTTTCCTTCTCCTCTTAATTACCAACAGTTAGCATTTCCCCCTCATGCTTGAAACAATGTGTAGTGTTACCAGAAGGACTTTCTGTACTTGTATTCCCATTACTTCATCCCTTTAACTATTGATATAGAGAAAGTTGCCTATCAATATTTTGAGAATGTCGAGGATATGGTGTACTATGTAGTTTGTAATGTGATCAAACTATAAAAGCTCATAACAAAGGAAGAGAGCATTATTCATTAAGTCTACTTATACCTGAAATAATTGATAACATGGTAAACTTATTTTTAAAACTCTTTCTTAATAATTTACATAGGAATTAACCACTTAAATTAATAAAATGCTAGTATTGAAAGAAACTGTTAAGCTCATTTAATTCAACTTTGATCTTTTCTCATTTATCTATAGGGAAACAGTAGCTCAGAGGAGTTTCACAGTGACTGACTTGCCCAGCATCATACTGACCTTCAGATATTTTGGCCTCCATGTTCATTACTCCTCCCAGTGGATGATGCTTCCACTGATTCTTCTTCTTTTTTTTTTTTTTTCTTTTTTTTTTTGAGATGGGGTCTTTCTCTGTCACCCAGGCTGGAGTGCAATGGCCCAATCTTGGCTCACTGTAGCCTCTGCCTCCTGGGTTCAAGTGATTCTCCTGCCTCAGCCTCCTGAGTAGCTGGGATTACAGGCTCCCACCACCACGTCCAGCTAATTTTTGTATTTTTAGTAGAGATGGGGTTTCACCAGGCTGGCCAGGCTGGTCTCGAACTCCTGACCTCAGGTGATCCATCCGCCTCGGCCTCCCAAAGTGCTGGGATTACAGGCGTGAGCCACCGTGCCCGGCCCTGATTCTTCTTTTTTCTAAGAGTAATGACATCATGGTTGCTTTTAAAAATTATACCTGCTTATCTTTAGATAATCTAAATATTTCAGAAAAGTTTAGGAAAAAAACAACAACCCAAAATGCATCTATCCATACAAATATCCATGTCCACATTTGGATAGAATGTTCTTCTAGACATCTTCACATGCATACACAGAGATAGAAAAACTGATTATGAATAGGCAGATAAGAATGAGATCATAGTATGTGTCTTATTTTTATTTTTTAAAATAAAGTATTAAACTGAATTTTACTTTACAAAAGGAAAAACAAAATAATTGCTGAACTTCAAATAAAAATTTTTCTAATATAAGAGATTAATTTTTAAATGTTCTTCTAGGGTAAATAATAATTGTTACTTTAATTCTTAGAGTTGAAATCCTTGCTTTTCTTTTGACTATAATAATATCAAGTAATATTTTACAAATTCAAATATATGATTTTTTTTTAACCTGAGATCCATGATGGACTTTAGAGAGTCTATAGCACACCCTCCTATCCAAAACTTTATGAAAAGTCACGTATGTACAAGAAAAACCTTCTTATTTGACATAATCAGGACCAGTAGTTAACAATTAATCAAAAATGTTAAAGCAGCGAGTTGTAAAAATATATATAAAAATGTATACCCACAATTTTACTTGAAATTAAAACATAAATGTCTTTCTTCGGCATGACCAATGTGTTGAAACCCCGTCTCTAGTAAAAATACAAAAATTAGCCAGGCCTGGTGGCAGGCGCCTGCAATTCCATCTACTCAGGAGGCTGAGGCACGAGAATCACATGAACCCAGGTGGCGGAGATTGCAGTGAGCCGAGATTGCACCACTGCACTCCAGCCTGGGTGACAGAGTGAGACGCCATCTCTAAAAAAAAAAAAAAAAAAAAAAAAAAATCTTTCCTTTTTCTCTATTTTGAAGTAGGGCTTTTCTTTGAGTATTGGTCTCCTGGTTAAAGATCTATAACATCTTTCCAACAGTAAGCCATATCTGTAGTATGTCTTCTACAATTTCCAGATTAGGTTCTTTTAAAATAGAATGAACAGTTAAAAACATTAAAAAAAATTGAGTGCAGAATCCTTTTAGATGTTTATTTCTCCCAGCTGTTATAATTGTCTTGCTCACCTCTAATTTCATAGCAGTTATTTTTTTAGCCATTCACATTTGAGTCTTTACGAAGCATTTAACTTAATTTTCCTAGAAACAATAATTCTTTTTAAACTCATATTTTATCATATTAAGTTACATTTAGACTGTTTAATTATAAGTAAAACTGATGCAGCAACTTGGGGAAAAAAGGAACTTAATAAGCATACTAATCAACTTGTGAAAGATAGTACCTTAGCATATTGGAGAGCACCTGATAGGGATGAATATTCAACATTCTACAAACATCATTTATAATAAATTAAAAAAACATTTTATTAATCAGTCAAGTCTCCTAAAAGAATGTCAGGTGAGAGCTTTTTAGTGTATCTGTGTTTTTCTGAAGGAAAGGGCCTATAGCTTTTAAGAGCTTCTCCAAGGTATCTGTGATATTAAAAAGTTTAAGAAATGATAAGTCTAGAAGGTCCTTTGAAAAACAAAAGACTCACTCCAGTTACTCATCATTTTGAAAATAGACTTCAAGATGGAATTACTCTTCGCTTTTTATAATTTTCCTCACAATATTTTTATTATTAACTTATGTAAAGAGTAGCAAGTAGTCTGTCTTTGAAAGCTATGAAATATCTAGGAATAGACTTACCAAATAATGTTTTAACGCCTGTTTAAAAGAAAAATAAACTATCAAACTTTACTGAAGGGTATTTTTAAATTTTCACAATATTTAATTGATGAATAAAGATTGAATATATTCAAGGTGTACAACATGATGATTTGACATACATATACATTGTGTAATGATTATTACAATCAAATTAACATATCCATCACCACCCATGCAGCACATTATATACCCAGAACTTGTTCATCTTATGACTGAAAGTTTGTACCCTTTGACCAACATCTCATTTACCTCACTGCTATCCCCTGGCAACCTCCATTCTACTCTCTGCTTCTATTCTGCGTATATGTCCAAAAAAAAAAAAAATGAAATCAGTATCTTGAAGAGATATATGCACCTCCATGTTCATTGCAGCATTATTCACAATAGTCAAGATTAGAAACAACCTAAGTGTCTCTCAGTAGATAAAGGGATAAAGATAATTTGGTACATATATACTACAACAGACTGCTATTTAACCATTAAAAACGGAAATTCTGCCATTTGCAATGGCATGGATAACCCAGAGGACATTATACTCAGTGAAATAAGATAGACACAGAAAGACAAATACTGTTTGATCTCACTTATATGTGAAGGATATTTAACAAAAAATCTTGAATGTCTTTGGGCATATATCCTGTTTCTCGATGAAAGACTAAATGTTGAAATACGGCGAGTATTTCAAAGTCTAGAAATTTAATTCAGTTCTTACAAAAGCTCTGGATTTGAATGGAGTGTGACATTCATTCATCTAGTATTTGTTGTCTGTCTACTGTGTATTGGTTACTATAGTATACACAATAAAATAGATCAAGAGGACAAAAGAGAATATCCAAACAATTATATTGAGTATATTTTTGTACACATGAGGGTAGGGGATTGATACGTGGTACAGGTGGCATTTCAGATCAGTGTGTAATGGAAAGGATGGATTTTTTTTTTCCAAGAAATATGTTGGGATAATTGGCTGTTTGTAGAATTACTCAGACCTTTACCAACTATCATGGGAAAACTAATTCTAGGTGGAATACAGATCTAATCATAAACTAGAATACTATAAAAGGTATGAGAAGAAATAAGAGGAATACCTGTTTAATCTTGAGATAGGAACAGCTTTCTTAAGCAAAATACAATCTAGAAGCCATTAAAGAAAAAGTTGACATATTTGACTACATCAAAATTAATACATTTCTGTAGATTACAATATACCATACACAAAGTTAATGGATACATGAAAAACTTGGAAAACTATTTGTAACATATATGACAAAGTACTAATATCCTTCATGTATTAAGAACTCCTGGCCAGGCGTGGTGGCTCATGCCTGTAATCCCAGCACTTTGGGAAGCCGAGGCAGACGGATCACGAGGTCAGGAGATCGAGACCATCCTGGCTAACACGGTGAAACCCCGTCTCTACTAAAAATACAAAAAATTAGCCGGGCATGGTGGCGTGGGTATGGTGGCGTGCGCCTGTAGTCCCAGCTACTCGGGAAGCTGAGACAGGAGAATGGGCATGAATCTGGGAGGCGGAGCTTGCAGTGAGCTGAGATCACGCCACTGTACTCCAGCCTGGGTGACAGAGAGAGACTCCGTCTCAAAAAAAACAAACAAAAAAAAGAACTCCTATAAATCAATGAGCAAAAGATGAATGTGCCCTCTGGGAAAATGAAAAAAGCAGTCTACAAAATAAGAAACATAAATGGCCTAATATATGTAAGATACTTGATTTCATCAACAAATAAATGCAAATTTGAAAAATCATTTAGATATTGGTTTTTAGCCTTTAAATTTGACAAAGATTTAAAAGACTTATAATATCACTGCTGGTAAATAGGGTAGGAAAACAGACATATACTCTTGGTGGTAGTGTAAATTGCTGCAGTATATTGCTGACTTTCTGGAGAGCAACATGGTAATACTGTCAAAAATTAATATGTGTATACGCTTCAGTGCAGAAATTTCAGCTCTAGGAATTTATCCTGAGGAAATACTATAAGGGTTATGGTCCCAGTTGTATGTATAAGGATGCTAATTTCATCATTGCTTATACTTGCCATCTCCCTACCCCCAAAAAGGAAAACAGCCCATATGCTCACCAACGGGATTTGTTAAATCATCGTGCCTCAATAGGGAATTTGTTAAACAAATTGTGGTGCATACATTATAGAATGCTAAACTAAGCAGCAAATTTAAAAAGTAGATCTACGGTATATAAAGTAATATAGAACCGTGCCTTTGAAATACTGTCAAGCTTTTAAAAAAATCATATCTCAGAATAATATGTGTACTGTGATCTCAAGTATTTGAAAAGGAAAACAAACTAAATACATATGTAATTTATTTTAAAATTTAATTGAAAACATAATTGAGATTGTATTGTATAATCTATTCTGTAACTTTTTCAAATTAGTGGTTCATCATGGACTTCCATTCATGCCAGTACATATAGATCTACTTCATCTTTTTTGAAAGATCTGTAAATATTAATATTACATTTGTTTTAAAATTTGTGTATATATAATGTATAGATGAGTAAAAATTGAGGAAGGATATATGTATAACTGTTAACAAAGGTTATATTTGGGGAGGAAGAGGAATTTCTTTATATTAGTATATTACTTAACTTTTCAACTGTAGGTATATACTTAGTAAAAACAATAAAAATATTTCTATTTGAGGATGGAAACATAATTTTTAAAAAATTTATGTTTGTAGAAATTATAATCCTGAAAAATACCTCAAAACATCTTCAAAACTTGAAAAATCAATGGCTGTTGAAATTACTTTAACTAAAATGAACAAAAGCATTGGAGAAGAATAGGAAAAAGAAGAAATCAGAAGTAGATTTTCAAAGAGAAATAGAGATGAATGAAAATAACGGTAACTTTAGGAATTCAGCCAGCATCCTGGCCTCTGCTTGAGTATATTTATCAGTCATTGTTTATTTTACCTTTCTACCAAAAAAGAATATTATTCTTTGGAGGAATTAGTTGATGCCTTTTATTTCTTTATGAATGGAGAAAGCACCATCAAATTTTAAGCAAAAGCATTAACTTTGTAGCATGTTAAAAATCTCATTTTCTCAGTCAGCAGTTTATTATCTCAAACTATATTCCCCAAACTCCTGTTAATAGACACAGTTTTCACTTATATCAAATCACCGTGTTATATACCTTAAATAGATACAATTTTATATATGTCAATCTAATCTCACTAAAGCTGAAAAAAATTAAAAAAATAGACATAGTTTTAAATTTATGTTACAATGTGAATGCAGATTATACATTTCTTATAACCTTTGCATGACACAAAAAATTTTTCATATAAGATTTTAGAAATGGTGCTTTGTGTTATATGATTTAGAGATTTATATCTTTATTGATTCTGACTTGAGTGTTCATATAAAATACCTGACAAATCTAAAATACATTTTTAATTTTAACTTTTAAAAATATGTTATTTGACTTACTTTTTGTTTTAATTAGGTAACAGCAAAAAAGGTATATGCTACAAGCCAGCAAATTTTTGGAGCAGTTAAATCATTGTGGACAAAAAGCAGCAAAGAAGAGTCACTCCCTAAACCTAAAGAAAAAACTAAGGTAGAGTTTACATGGAGCAAGACGGTCAACATTGAGTTTTGTTTGGGTGGGTGTTGGCTTGTAATGAGGGTACTGGACAGAGGTCGAGGATAAAATGAGAAAGTAGATGAAGGAAATAGTAAAATGATTTACTTATGAAGGAAAAATCTGTTTGGTAAACAGCTAGGATCCTCTTCCGAAATAGAAGTACCTGCAAAAACAACTCACGTCTTGAAACACTCAGTGCCCTTGCCAACAGAACTCAGCTCTGAAGCAAAGACCAAATCAGAATCCACTTCAGGTTTGTTGGGTATAAGTCAATTTTGTTTTCATTCTTTTCTTAAATAATTTGATAGCATTATCATTAGTGGTTTGAACTTAAGATGTGTTCTCCCCATAAATATTTTGTCTTTCTCATATCTGTGGTTTCTGTTTCTTTTTAGGTTATGAGGTACTTAAGTATCTGCAATTGCTTTAAATTATCACATAGTTCATAATATAGATCTTTTAATGTGAGTATATAGAGTAACACTGACAGGTTGATTAGGTGAAGCATTTAATATAACTTTATAAATTTGAGCTATTAGGTGGGGGAAAATGGGCCTTTCTAGATTCTGTAATTTTAAAGGGATGAGTCACACCTACATAAAGAAATGTCAGCTTCCATTTTTTGTGCTATTTACCTATCAGTCTCCCTGTCAATCTTAAGACTTTTATTTTTATTAAGTTTAGTTTTACTAAGTTTAGGCACCAAAAGAACTTTCAGCATCAAATATTAGAAATATTATCCATTATAATACTTATAACATTGCTAGTATTCCATACTGGCAATAAACACTTTGTGGGACCAAGCAGTGACAATTATACTTTCTAAACAAATACTGCTGTGATTTTACTGTGATCAAAAAGAAGGTGACAAAGTGTTTAATACCATTTTGACAATGTATTCATATTGATTTGCATAGGTTTATCTATATAGATACCTATATAGATATCTATATAATTACAATGTGAATTATAAAACCCGCTAAGTTGTCTTATTGCAAAGGAAGGTGGCTAATTCAGCGGTTGGGGAATAATAATAATATGCACCCTTTATCGAGCACATACTGTGATGCAGAGAGCTAGAAGTATATTATGTTATTCAGCCCTTACCCACAAAGCAAAACAAAAACCTCTGCTGGATCGGTAATTATTCCCATTTTATGATGAAGAGACTGAGACTCAGGGAGCTAAAATAAGTTGCCCCAAATCATATAGCTTGTGAGTAGCAGAGTTCTGTTTATGGCCTAGATCTTCTTGACATCAAAGTCTAAGTTCTTTCCATTGTCTATAGATTATCTAATTTAAAACTGGAAGTTAGTCTCTAATTTCAGCCTCCTCCTCTCACTTAATCTTCATAAAAACTGTCATTGAATAACAAACATGATATGAGTTTTACTATTTTCCTCTGTCCTCTCTCTTTTCTAATCAAGAGGAGCTATACAGTTTTTAGACTCTGAATAATCTACCAGTGACCATATTCTCACAAGAATATAATGTATGGTCATTTTTCCACATGCCTTTTAATTCCAGAGTATCTTTATGAAGATGAAACATACTACAGCTTAACAGTGGGACCAAAACCTTTCCAAGCTAATGTCTTTTCCTCACACATCTAGATTCTGGAACCCTTTATTTGCCTGTCTTGGGTGATGTGGTATATGAAAAGCATTCTATGGAGACAATGCAGAGGGAGAAAGAGATGCCAGTGCTACTTACTCATTCTTATCATAGATGTCTTGGTCAGTTTGAGCTGCTGTAAAAAATACCATAGACTGGGTGGCTTATAAACAACAGAAATTTATTTCTCACAGTTCTAGAGACTGAAATTCTGAGATCAGGGTGCCAACATGGTCAGGTTCTGGTGAAGACCCTCTTCTGGCTTGTAGACAGCCTACTTCTCATTGTATTCTCACATGGCAGAGAAGAGAGGGAAGCAGGCTCTCTCAAGATTCATAAGGGCACTACTGATCCCATTCACAAAGGCTGTACCCTCATCACTTCCTCTAATTCTAACCACTTCCTAAAGCTCTCCATCTCCTAATACCATCACAATGGGGGAGATAGGGTCTCAACATGTGAATTTTGGGGGGACACCAACACGCAGTACATAACAATATATCATTTGGCGTTTATTATACAGTATAACCTTGGGATTCACCATTTCCACGTTTCATATGTAGAATAAAACATTTTTTTTTTTTTGGCCATGAGAAACAGTAGTGATTGTGAGCACAGGTTATAGAATAAGACTTGAATCGAAATCCCAGATCCAGCATTTACTAGTTCTGTTACCTGGGGCAAGTTATCAAACACCTCAAGCCTCAGTCTCCTCATTCAACAAAAAGGGGACAATAATAGTTCTCACATGGTTGTGAGGATTAAGTGAGATATTGCATGTAAAGCACTAACTGTAATGCCAGGGACATACTAAGGGGTATCAGTGGATATTAAAATATATCATTATTATTATTTGCCTAGAGCAGTTAGCCATTTTGATGAGAAACAGATTTTCATTGAGCATACTTAAAGAGCAAGTCACTTACCTAGTGAGCCTAGCCATGGCTATAACTTATCACCATACAGAACAGGTAGGGTGTACTGTCCAACTATATGTTGTGGCTCTGAATATGAGTTTGGTTGTTCTCTACCATCTCATGTACATTAATGGAGAAAATTGCTATTTTGGGAATCACAAATTTAGAATTTGGTGTCATAGACCTCTTCAAGAATCTGATGAAAGCAGAATGAAATCTCTCACAGTCTTGCAAGATTAATGTCCCTCTAAAGCAGAAGTTGACAAACTATGGCCTGTATGCCAACTCTGACTATGTTTTTTTTTAGGTGATAAATTTGCTAAACTTATATATATATATATATATATACGTATATATATGTATGTATATATATACGTATATGTATATACACGTATATATATATATACATATATATATATATATACACACACATATATATATATTTTTTTAATTATACTTTAAGTTCTAGGGTACATGTGCACAACATGCAGGTTTGTTACATAGGTATACATGTGCCATTGTTGGTTTGCTGCACCCATTAACTCATCATTTACGTGAGGTATTTCTCCTAATGCTATCCCTCCTCCTGCCCCCCACCCCACAACAGGCCCCTGTGTATGATGTTCCCCACCCTGTGTACAAGTGTTCTCATTGTTCAATTCCCACCTATGAGTGAGGATATACGGTGTTTGGTTTTCTGTCCTTTTGATAGTCTGCTCAGAATGATGGTTTCCAGCTTCATCCATGTCCCTGCAAAGGACATGAACTCATCCTTTTTTATGGCTGCATAGTATTCCATGGTGTATATGTGCCACATTTTCTTAATCCAGTCTATCATTGATGGACATTTGGGTTGGTTCCATGTTTTTGCTATTGTGAATAGTGCCACAATAAACATATGTGTACATGTGTGTTTATAGTAGCATGATTTATAATCCTTTGGGTATATACCCAGTAATGGGATGGCTGGGTCAAATGGTATTTCTAGCTCTAGATCCTTGAGGAATCGCCACACTCTCTTCCAGAATGGTTGAACTAATTTACACTCCCACCAACAGTGTAAAAGCATTCCTATTTCTCCACATCCTCTCCAGCATCTGTTTTTTCTTGACTTTTTAATGATCACCATTCTAACTGGTGTGAGATGGTATCTCATTGTGGTTTTGATTTGCAGTGATGATGAGCATTTTTTCATGTGTCTGTTGACTGCATAAATGTCTTCTTTTGAGAAGTGTCTGTTCATATCCTTTACCCACTTTTTGATGGGGTTGTTTTTTTCTTGTAAATTTGTTTAAGTTCTTTGTAGATTCTGGATATTAACCCTTTGTCAGATGGGTAGATTGCAAAAATTTTCTCCCATTCTGTAGGTTGCCTGTTCACTCTGATGGTAGTTTCTTTTGCTGTGAAGAAGCTCTTTAGTTTAATTAGATCCCATTTGTCAATTTTGGCTTTTGTTGCCATTGCTTTTGGTGTTTTAGTCATGAAGTCCTTGCCCATGCCTATGTCCTGAATGGTATTGCCTAAGTTTTATTCTAGGGTTTTTATGGTTTTAAGTCTAACATTTAAGTCTTTAATCCATCTTGAATTAATTTTTGTATAAGGTGTAAGGAAGGGATCCAGTTTCAGCTTTCTACATATGACTAGCCAGTTTTCCCAGCACCATTTATTAAATAGGGAATCCTTTCCCCATTTCTTGTTTTTGTCAGGTTTGTCAAAGATCAGATGGTTGTAGATGTGTGGTGTTACTTCTGAGGTGTCTGTTCTGTTCCATTGGTCTATCTCTCTGTTTTGGTACCAGTACCATGCTGTTTTGGTTAGTGTAGCCTTGTAGTATAGTTTGAAGTCAGGTAGCGTGATGCCTCCAGCTTTGTTCTTTTGGCTTAGGATTGACTTGGCGATGCGGGCTCTTTTTTGGTTCCATATGAACTTTAAAGTAGTTTTTTTCCAATTCTGTGAAGAAAGTCATTGGTAGCTTGATGGGGATGGCATTGAATCTATAAATTACCTTGGGCAGTATGGCCATTTTCACAATATTGATTGTTCCTATCCATGATCATGGACTGTTCTTCCATTTATTTGTGTCCTCTTTTATTTTGTTGAGCAGTGGTTTATAGTTCTGTTGAAGAGGTCCTTCACATCCCTTGTAAGTTGAATTCCTAGGTATTTTATTCTCTTTGTAGCAATTGTGAATGGGAATTCACTCATGATTTGGCTCTCTGTTTGTCTGTTAATGGTGTATAAGAATGCTTGTGATTTTTGCACATTGATTTTGTATCCTGAGACTTTGCTGAAATTGCTTCTCAGCTTAAGGAGATTTTGGGCCGAGACGATGGGGTTTTCTAAATATACAATCATGTCATCTGCAAACAGGGACAATTTGACTTCCTCTTTTCCTAATTGAATACCCTTTATTTCTTTCTCTTGCCTGATTGCCCTGGCCAGAACTTCCAACACCATGTTGAATGGGAGTGGTGAGAGAGGGCACCCCTGTCTTGTGCCTGTTTTCAAAGGGAATGCTTCCAGTTTTTGCCCATTCAGTATGACACTGGCTGTGGGTTTGTCATAAATAGCTTTTATTATATTTAGATATGTTCCATCAATGTCTAGTTTATTGAGAGTTTTTAACAGGAAGGGCAGTTGAATTTTGTCGAAGGGTTTTCTGCATCTATTGAGATAATCATGTGGTTTTTGTCGTTGGTTCTGTTTATATGCTGGATTACATTTATTGATTTGTGTATGTTGAACCAGCCTTGCATCCCAGGGAGGAAGCCGACTTAATTGTGGTGGATAAGCTTTTTGATGTGCTTGTTGATTCGGTTTGCCAGTATTTTATTGAGGATTTTCACATCGATGTTCATCAGGAATATTGGTCTAAAATTCTCTTTTTTTGTTGTGTCTCTGCCAGGGTTTGGTATCAGGATGATGCTGGCCTCAGAAAATGAGTTAGTGAGAATTCCCTCTTTTTCTATTGATTGGAATAGTTTCAGAAGGAATGGTACCAGCTCCTCTTTGTATCTCTGGTAGATTTCGGCTGTGAAACTGTCTGGTCCTGTACTTTTTTTGGTTGGTAGGCTATTAATTATTGCCTCAATTTCAGAGCCTGTTATTGGTCTCTTCAGAGATTCAGCTTCTTCCTGGTTTAGTCTTGGGAGGGTGTATGTGTCCAGGAATTTATCCATTTCTTCTAGATTTTCTAGTTTATTTGCGTAGAGGTGTTCATAGTATTCTCTGATGGTAGTTTGTATTTCTGTGGGATTGGTGGTGATATCCCCTTTATCATTTTTTATTGCATCTATTTGATTCTTCTCTCTTTTCTTCTTTATTAGTCTTGCCAGCAGTCTATCAATTTTGTTGATCTTTTCAAATAATCAGCTCCTGGATTCATTGATTTTTTGAAGGGTTTTTTGTGTCTCTATCTTTTTCAGTTTTGCTCTGATCTTAGTTATTTCTTGCCTTCTGCTAGCTTTTGAATGTGTTTGCTCTTGCTTCTCTAGTTCTTTTAATTGTGATGTTAGGGTGTCAATTTTAGATCTTTCCTGCTTTCTCTTGTGGGCATTTAGTGCTATAAATTTCCTTCTACACACTGCTTTAAATGTGTCCCAGAGATTCTGGTACGTTGTGTCTTTGTTTTCGTTGGTTTGAAAGAACATCTTTATTTCTGCCTTCATTTCGTTATGTACCCAGTAGTCATTCAGGAGCAGGTTATTCAGTTTCCATGTAGTTGTGCGGTTTTGAGTGAGTTTCTTAATCCTGAGTTCTAATTTGATTGCACTGTGGTCTGAGAGACAGTTTGTTGTGATTTCTGTTCTTTTACATTTGCTGAGGAGTGCTTTACTTCCAACTCTGTGGTCAATTTTGGAATAAGTATAATGTGGTGCTGAGAAGAATGTATATTCTGTTGATTTGGGGTGGAGAGTTCTGTAGATGTCTATTAGATCTGCTTGGTGCAGAGCTGAGTTCAAGTCCTGGATATCCTTGTTAACCTTCTGTGTCATTGATCTGTCTAATATTGACAGTGGGGTGTTAAAGTCTCCCATTATTATTGTGTGGGAGTCTAAAGTCTCTTTGTAGGTCATTAAGGACTTGCTTTATGAATCTGGGTGCTCCTGTATTGGGTGCATATATATTTAGGATAGTTAGCACTTCTTGTTGAATTGTTCCCTTTACCATTATGTAATGGCCTTCTTTGTCTCTTTTGATGTTTGTTGGTTAAAAGTCTGTTTTATTGGAGACTAGGATTGCAACCCCTGCTTTTTTTTGCTTTCCATCTGCTTGTTAGATCTTCCACCTTCCCTTTATTTTGAGCCTATGTGTGTCTCTGCATGTGAGATCAGTCTCCTGAATCCAGCACACTGATGGGTCTTGACTCTTTATCCAATTTGCCAGTCTGTGTCTTTTAATTGGGGCATTTAGCCCATTTACATTTAAGGTTAATATTGTTATGTGTGAATTTGATCCTGTCGTTATGATGTTAGCTGGTTATTTTGCCCATTAGTTGATGCAGTTTTTTCCTAGCATCGATGGTCTTTACAATTTGGCATGTTTTTGCAGTGGTACCGGTTGTTCCTTTCCATGTTTAGTGCTTCCTTCAGGAGCTCTTTTAAGACAGGCCTGATGTTGACAAAATCTCTCAGCATTTGCTTGTTTGTAAAGGATTTTATTTCTCCTTCACTTATAAAGCTTAGTTTGGCTGGATATGAAATTCTGGGTTGGAAATTCTTTTCTTTAAGAATGTTGAATATCGGCCCCCACTCTCTTCTGGCTTGTAGAGTTTCTGCTGAGAAATCCGCTGTTAGTCTGATAGGCTTCCCTTTGTGGGTAACCTGACCTTTCTCTCTGGCTGCCCTTAACATTTTTTCCTTCATTTCAACTTAGGTGAATCTGACAGTTATGTGTCTTGGGGTTGCTATTCTCGATTAGTATCTTTGTGGTGTTCTCTGTATTTCCTGAATTTGAATGTTGGCCTGCCTTGCTAGGTTGGGGAAGTTCTCCTAGATAATATCCTGCAGAGTGTTTTCCAACTTGGTTCCATTCTCCCCGTCACTTTCAGGTACACCCATCAAACGTAGATTTGGTCTTTTCTCATAGTCCCATATTTCTTGGAGGCTTTCTTCATTTCTTTTTACTCTTTTGTCTCTAAACTTCTCTTCTCACTTTATTTCATTAATTTTTCATTAATTCAGTCACTGATACCCTTTCTTCACTTGATCAAATCAACTGTTGAAGCTTGTGCATGAGTCATGTAGCTCTCGTGCCATGATTTTCAGCTCCATCAGGTCATTTAAGGTCTTCTCTACACTGTTCTAGTTAGCCATTCATCTAATCTGTTTTCAAGGTTTTTAACTTCCTTGCGGTGGGTTCGAACATTCTCCTTTAGCTTGGAGAAGTTTGTTATTACCGACCTTCTGAAGCCTACTTCTGTCAGTTCGTCAAAGTCATTCTCCATCCAGCTTTGTTCCATTGATGGCGAGGAGCTGTGATCCTTTGGAGGAGAAGAGGTGCTCTGGTTTTTAGAATTTTCAGATTTTCTACTCTGGTTTCTCCCCATCTTTGTGGTTTTATCTACCTTTGGTCTTTGATGCTGGTGATCTAGAGATGGGGTTTTGGTGTGGATGTCGTTTTTGTTGATGTTGATGCTATTCCTTTCTGTTTGTTAGTTTTCCTTCTAACACTCAGGACCCTCAGCTGCAGGTATGTTGGAATTTGCTAAAGGTCCACTCCAGACCGTGTTTGCTTGGGTATACCGAGCGGAGGCTGCAGAACAGCAAATATTGCAGAACAGAAAATATTGCTGCCTGATCCTTCTTCTGGAAGCTTTGTCCCAGAGGGGCACCCACATGTATGAGGTGTCCTGACTCACTATTTTTGTATATTCTGCAAGCTAACAGTGACGGTTGAAAAAAAATCAAAGGGATAATATTTCATAGCAAGTGAAAATGACATGAAATTCAGATCTCAATGTCCAGAAATAATGTTTTATTAGAACATACCCACACACATTGATCTATGTATTGTCTACGGCTGCTTTTAAACTACAATGGCAGAGTCGAGCACTTGTGACAGAGACCATATGGTTCACCAAGTCAAAAATATTTACTACTGACCTTTTGCAGAAAAGTTTGCCAATTCCTCTTCTAGAGAGAGGGCATGTGCCACATATGCATGATTCATGTCCCCCTCATGGTAGTTGCCAGATTTTTTGTGGATTCGGAGACTAAATAGCCAAACTCAAAACCTCTTAAGGGCAAAATCGAATTTCCTACAGTTTTTTGGTGCTGTGGAGAGAGAAACTAGTCAGTCTGTCAGTCAGAAGCTTGGGAGTGCCATAGGTGAACTGGGAGGAACCAGAGGTTAACTGACTCTTACTAAAATTAGAACGCAGCCCAGACCCAGCTCAATGCCTGACTAGATTGAGATGATAAGTGTTTCACCCTTTGTAAAGAGAGCAAGGGCACCCCTGTCTGGTGCCCTTTATCTTCTGGAGCTTCTACCTTTCTTTTATACATAATGTCCAGTATACAAACAAACAAAATACTAGTTATGCAAAAAGGCAGGAAGATGTGACTGACAGTCAAAAGAAAAAATACATAAATATAACAATAACAGCAGACCCACAGATGACCTAAATATTGAAGTTAACTGAAAAGGACTTTACAATAACTATAATTAATATATTAAATAGAAAAAAAGATGGACAAAATGGATGAAAAGATGGAGAATGTCACAGGGACTTGGACTCTGTTAAAAAATTCTAGTGGATATTCTAGAAGTGAAAAATACAGTACCCGAAATTAAGAACTCATTGTATGGGTTTAACAGCAGACTATTTACCAGAAAGCACAGAATTAATGAATTCAAAGACAAGTCAATAAAAAATAGCCAAACTGAAGCACACAGAGAAAAAAGGAATGGAAAAGTTTGAGAAAGTACTTTATAGTGACTAGTGTCTTTAAGTATTTGAGTTGCTAAGAAGCTGAATGCTGAATGTCATCCTGATTTTATATACAAGAAACCAAAAGAAAATTTGTAACAATCCTAACTTCACTCAGCAATTTATTAGTTATCTGTCCTTTTTTTTGTAACTAACTTGCTTAAAATATCAATGAGATAACATGTGAACTAAATTATCAGTTATGTGATATTATCAGATATCACATAAGGGCTATTTGAGACTATAATTCATTGCTGTCTTATAACTTTAAACATATTTCTTTCCTATTTGTAATAACACCAACTTTTTGAATAGTCTGCTAAAAAGCTTTAAGCAGAAAATGTTCTTATTAGAGAGCAAACGTATAAAATTGCAAAGGAATGCATCATGATGATTAGGGCATTCAGATTCAAGAAGAGTTTTATGACAGCTTATTCTTTGGGAGTGTAAGAGAGCCCTTAATCCATTCAAGAGATGAAGAAATTTCTTAGAAAGATATAATTCTTAGTTGCTTATAAGAGCATGAGATGAAGCTTTTTTTTTTTTTTTTTTTGAGATGGAGTCTCGCTCTGTCACCCAGGCTGGAGTGCAGTGGTGCGATCTTGGCTCACTGTAACCTCTGCCTCCCGGGTTCAAGCGATTCTCCTGTCTCAGCCTCCCAAGTAACTGAGACTACAGGCACCTGCCACCAAACCCAGCTAATTTTTTGTATTTTTGGTAGAGACGGGCTTTCACTGTGTTAGCCAGGATGGTCTTGATCTCCTAACCTTGTGATCCTCCCACCTCGGCCTCCCAAAGTGCTGGGATTACATGCTTGAGCTACCACGCCTGGCCTTTGAGATGAAGCTTTTCAAAAAGATGAATCAAATGACAGGCTAAGTGGTTCTAAACCAGAGAGATCCATATCACAATTACTTGAGGGTTTTTTTTTTTCTCAAAATCCATAGGTCCAGACTCTACCAAGAATTATAAATCTGAATCTCCAGAGCTGAGGCCTCTAAGCAGGTGGATTTTAGGAAGAGCTTTACAGGGGATTCTGATACATATTACTCTTGCTAATAATCTCTGTTTTAAGTTGTGAATAAATTAAAATCTTGAAGACTTTTAAGAAATTTTGAGGGGTGATCTAAAGGCAAAAGATTCTTTCTAATTCAGGAAATTGGGGTAAGCTGAATCTTTCACCAAACTTTGAACAAGAATATAAATTAAGGAAGTATTTAGAAGTGCTAGAGAACTTAGTCAGTTGATGGACATTGTTAAGCAAATTTGACACACTGAGATTTACGTAAAATAATTATTTGTCACATGCCTACTATATAGTGTTTTCTGCTTGATAAAACTTGTTGCACACTTTTCACTTGTACTGAGCAATGGTTCCCACCAGATGGCAGTAGAGATACAGCAGAACCACCAGTGGATTCCTAACCATTTTTTGTGCTACAGCCTCTTCTCAGAATAATGTTTTCAAATGCAGAAAATAAAATACATAGTAATGTATGAACTTCCTTAAGTGTATTAAACAACAATATCTAACAATAGGTCTAATAACTTTTAATTTTTAAGTAGTGGCGAGTGTGAATATTTTGAGATAATCTGCAACTATAATGTAATAAGATATCTGTGATTTCTGTTGGTGACAAAGAAATCTAAGGTACTGCTGATACTACTGTGTTTTGTTGCCTGTATACATTATTGAAGACAATGTCCATTTAAGTCAGAGGTAAGTGAAAATAATGACAAATTTTCCTCATCCAAGTTAATAGATCACATGAGTTCTATAACATACCCCCAGAGACACGAAGTTAAGAATTTATTCTATGGAGAGCTGCATTACCTGTACCATCATGAATACTAATTACTTATGAATCTGGTTGTTTTGTTAATATATGTGGTGATGAAGTTACACATAGGTGTGTCACACTGTAAAATACGTTTCAGAAAAGATAGGTATAAGATAAATCATTGTATTCCAATTTCTCTCCTTTGTTTTCATTATAAAACTGGAAATTAAATTCTTTTATGCAGAAAAGGTATGGTTCCCAAATGTAATAAAATTAATTTTAAAATGAATCCGATTTTGAACATATTTAAAATAAAAACAAATTTCTGAAAAAATGTTTGTAGTATTATGTCACAAAGTAAATATAAAATAGTTGTCTCTTGCCTACTTACCATGCACAAGGTATTTATATGCATCAGTTTGTGTGCATTATCATGTTTAGTACTAAAACTAGTTGTATGAGATTTTTACTGCTATAAATATCATTTTAAAGAAGAGCCTGGGTTGTTATGTTGTGGTCAGACAAATGTGGATTCATTCCTGGCTCCACCACTTACCAGCTGAATGACTTTGGTCAAGTTAGTTAACCTCTCCAAATTAAAATTTTCTTATCTGTAAAATAAGGACAATGTAAAAATAGTATCTGCTTCATGGTGGGATTATGAGATAATGCATGAAAATAACTTAGCTACTTGCTGGGGACACAGGAAGCTTGTCAAGATCACCAGTGATCCACACATTGCCAAATCCAGGAGTTGATTCTCAATCTCCATCTTATGCAATCCATCAGTAACCTTTGACACAGGTTAAATTCCTTCCTCCTTCAATCTCTTCACTTGGCCTGTGGGATATCTCTTGCTCTTGGTTCTCTTACCTCATTCACTGGCTTTCCACCTTAATCTTCTTTCCTACATTCTCCTAACCCTCTTAACATCTTCTAATCTTAACCCAAAAGACTCATTTGTACTCAGATGTTTAGTAAGCAATTCAAATTTAACACATCCAACACTTAATGATTCGTTTGTTTTCCCCTAAACCTGCTTCTCCCACATTTTCCCCTATCTCAATAAATGTCACCTCCATTCTTCCAGTTTCTCAAGTTGAAGAGTCTCTCTCACAAGACATAGTCAGTCCATTTAGGAAATCTTGTCTATTCTACCTTCAACATTATCCAGAATCTGGTACCTTTTCACCACTTCTACTTCCACCATCCTAACTAAAGCCCTCAGCATGTCTTCTGGAGTATTGTAATTGCTTTCTAACTGGTCTCCCTGCTTCTATCCCTTGTTTCCCTATAGTTTCTTTTCCCCATAGCCAAGAGTGATTTTTTTTTTTTTGAGACGGAGTCTCGCTGTGTCTCCCAGGTTGGAGTGCAGTGGCGCGATCTCGGCTCACTGCAAGCTCCGCTTCCCGGGTTCACGCCATTCTCCTGCCTCAGCCTCCCAAGTAGCTGGGACTACAGGCGCCCGCCAACACGCCCGGCTAATTTTTTGTATTTTTAGTAGAAACGGGGTTTCACCGTGTTAGCCAAGATGGTCTTGATCTCCTGACCTCGTGATCCGCCCGTCTCGGCCTCCCAAAGTGCTAGGATTACAGGCGTGAGCCACCGCGCCCGGCCGAGTGATCTTTTTAAAAACATAGCATCATTCACTCCTCTACTCAAAATTGTCCAGTAGCTTCTCATCTCACTTAAAGCCAAAATCTTTACCATGGCCCTGTGTGACCTAGCTTTCCATTGTCTTTTTGATCACATCTCCTATCATCTCACTGCCTTGCCGCCACCCCTACATACACCACATTTGTCTACTGTGTTTCAACCATATTGGTTCCTCAGACATACCTCAGGTCCATTACACTTGCCGTCTGCTCATCCTGGAAGGCATTGCCTGCTGGTATCTATAGGGTGCACACCCTCACCTCCTTCAGTTCTCGGCTCATGTATCACCTTTCCAGAAGGCTTTCCCTGGCTGCCCTATTTAAAATTACAAATCACCTAAGCACTCCATATATCCTTCCTTGTTTCATTTTTTCACATAGCACTTAACCACCATCTGATATATATTTAATTAGTTTGTCTGTCTCACCTAACTCAAATGTTAGGTCTGTGTCACTAGAGATTTTTATCTGGTTTGTTCGCTGCTGTCTTCCCAGTATCAAAAATAAATTTGTTAAGTGACTAATTTTTCTTTTCATTTTAATACTTTATCAGGTGCAACCCAGTTTATGCCTGACCCCAAGCTCATGGATCACGGGCAGTCCCACCCAGAAGATATAGATATGTACAGCACTAGAAGCTGAAGTAGACTGCATGCAGAGACTACACAGAAAACTACAAGATGTGTGGCGTTGCAAATAATGATGAAAATAAATCATGTAATGGGTAACTGATACATAGAGTATTACCTAAACCAAGTTTCTCCCTTACATTTCCAAATATGCCATTTGATAAATTACATAAGTGGTTAACACACAAACTGTGAATGCAGTGTAAACAATATTAAATGATTGATGAGGAGACTTAGGTAGAAGTATTAGCTTGCATTTGATGACCTTTAAGGGCACTTAAAAAAAAATGAAGACATGAATTCTAGTGAGATTAAAATCTAAAAATACATATATATATATGTATGTATAAATACATACATATTTATACATGTATAAATACGTATTTATACATATATGTATAAATACATATACATATATGTATAAATACATATACATATTTATACATATATGTATAAATACATACATATTTATACATATATGTATAAATACATACATATTTATACATATATGTATAAATACATACATATTTATACATATATATGTATAAATACATACATATTTATACATATAAACATATATTTCTGCTCTAGCTTTCCCAGATTAATGCTAGTTAAATTAGAATGGTGTATGGAAAGGTGTGTTTCCCTCTGTTTTTTTTTTTTTTTTTTTTTTTTTTTTTCCCATTTCCTAGAGCTGGAATAAAATATCCATGTTTTATGGGACTTGAGCTTGGCTTTGTCCCTTGGTTTTGTTAATGTTAATTCCTCTTAAATATCTAAAAACATCTCTACCTATTTGAGAGGGCCATATGCTACACAGGCTTCCTAATACTGCTTAGCAATCCTTCTACTGGTTCCTAAGTGGTTTACTATTGTGTTCCCTGGAAGAGGTATTACAAACGTTTTATTCTTCTCAAGCCTCTTAGAACTGTCAAAGTTGACTGTGCCTCCTATTTCATAGAGAAAAAACTAAATTATTAGATATGACCATTCCCAAAACTTCTTCCCATCTACCTTCAAGACTTACCTCTTTTCAGCCATGCATCCCCCTTTTCTAAGACATGCTTCTCTTTGTGTTCTTGACCTCATTCCTTCCCATCTAAGACCATATTCCACCCTGTTTAATTTCTAGTCTTCGGTTTCTCTTTTTACAGTGAGCAAATTAGAAGAATAGGTTAGAAGAATAGGGTAGTAGATACTGTAGTTTCTTTCCTCCACCTCTACATAGCTGCAGGTCTTCTCTGTCTTAAATCAACAATAACAAAACAAGACAAAAACCTTTCCTTAACTTGGCCTCTTCCCTTGAACTATTTTTTCTCTCTCCTTCCTATAATTGTTATACTTCTTTAAAAAGTAATTGTTACTTTTTGACAAAAGTAAATATTGTCCCTTTTTTCCCTACTTTCAAGTCCTCTCTGTCTTGTGACATTCTGGCCTCCATACCTGCTTAATTTTTTTTGAGATGGGGTCTTGCTCTGTTGCCCAGGCTGGAGTGCAGTGGCACAAACACAGCTCACTGCAACCTCCACCTCCCAGGATCAAGCAATCCTCCCATCTCACCCTCCCAAGTAGCTGGGACTATAGGCACCCGCCACCATGCCTAATTTTTTGTATTTTTGGTAGTGACAGGGTTTCACCATGTTGTCCAGGCTGGTCTCGAACTCCTGAGCTCAAGCATCTGTCCGACTCAGCCTACCACAGTGTTGGGATTACAGGCGTGAGCCACCGCACCCAGCCCCTACTTGAATTTTTATGTCATTATTGACTCTTCACCACTCTCTCCTTGAGACTCACTTATCCCTTTGCTCTCTATTTTTCCTGCTTTTGTTATTCTTCATTTTTCTTCTCTTGCTCTGAATCCCTTAAATGCTGAGGCTGCTCAAGTTTCATCCCTAGTCCTATTTTCTCATTCTATATGCACACTCATTTTTCATTTAACAGACTTCACTGGCTTCAGGCACCATTTGTTTTATTATTCATATTTTCAACCCCCATATCTCTCTAGTGCTGTAGACCTTTATTTCTACTTACTAGTTATATTCACCTAACATCCCATAGATATGCCAATGTCAATGTGCCTAAAACAAAATTGTCTCTACCTCCCGCTCCTTCAAATCTATTCTGTCTTCTCTAATCCTATAATTACTCTCCCTCAAGTCATCATCATCACTTTTCTGGGTTACTGTAATAGCCTTCAGGCTAATTTGCTCACTGTCAATCTTGCTGTCTCTCATTTCAGAATATGTTCTGCTTGCAGGTGACAGTAAACTAGTTAAACAAATATTTAATATTAGCTTAAGCAAAAAAAAAAAAAAAGGCCTATCCTATTTATAGCCTAGAATTAGGCAGTATAGGGTTGGGACAGTGGCTCATTGGTGCTATCAAGGACGTAGACTTTTTCTCTTTCCACTCTGTCCTCTACAGCATGCTGGTTTGTCACCTCATGGTCACAAGATGTCTGCTGTACCTCCAGGGAGCAGATACACATTCAAAGTAGGAAATAGCAGATAAAAATGTACACAAGATGCGTCTGACTCCCTTTTACCAGAAAAGTAAATGCTTTCTTAGAATCTCCTCAGAAGACCTCTGTGTATATCTCAACCAGTACTTGTCATATAGCCACACACTTAGCTCAAGGAAGATAGGGAATAGGGAAATCATGTTTCTTTTCCCCTGTGGTGAGGAAGGCAAGGGGTAAGGGGTTGGGAACAGGTGCTGAATTAAAGCTAACATACAGTATCTACTACCCTATTCTTCTAACCCATTTGTCTATTATGATATAGTTGTCTTGACAACTATAATGAATAGCTGTCTTTCTGAAATCTTTAGTGGCTCATCATTGCCTGCAGAATCAAAACTCCTTAGTCTGATATACAAGGCCCTTCATATCTGATTCCAGCTTACCTTCTAATCCTATCTTCCCTCTCCTTACCCACCCTACTGCTAATGTGTATTATATTGTCTTTATGACATACCATTTGTTTCTTGAACATGCTTTGCTCATTATTGCCTCTTTCTCTGCCTGTGCTAGTGTGTCCTCTTAGAATGTTCTTCCATCTTATCCTGCTCTACATTCTAACTTCTACCCATCCTACAAGTCCAATTCCAGTGTCATGTTCCCTTTCTCAATCCTCCAGGGTAGAATTTAGATGTTCTGTCTTTTAGAGATAGGTATTGCTATGTTGCCCAGGCTGGTCTCAAACTCATGGCCTCAAGCGATCCTCCCACCTCAGCCAACCAGACATGAGTGACTGTGCTCAGCCTTTTTTAAAAAAATGAAGGTATTTGGTATGGCCGGGTATGGTGGCTCACACCTATAATCCCAGCACTTTGGGAGGCCAAGGTGGGTGAATCACCTGAGGTCAGGAGTTTGAGACCAGCCTGACCAACATAGTGAAACCCTGTCTCTACTAAAAACACGCAAAAAGTGCAAAATTAGCTAGGCGTGGTGGCTCATGCCTGTAATTCCAGCTACTTGGGAGGCTGAGGCAGGAGAATCACTTGAATCCGGGAGGTGGAGGCTGCAGTGAGCCGAGATCGTGCCATTGCACTTCAGCCTGGGCACAAGAACAAAACTCAGTCTCAAAAAATAAATAATAAAAAATAAAGGTATATAATATGTCTTAGATTTGATGAAATATGAGTGTGTTTGAGATCTGATCCAAGGTTTTAAAAAATTCATTTCAAATCCTGGAGATAAATTCTGAGGAGCTTACTTATGAAAAACTAGCAAGTGATAGCTGGTATTTACAGATATGGTACTTTACACAATTTATGTAATTAATATTTTCTCACAGACAAGGTTCCTTGTGGATATCACTGAATAATTTTTGTGTAGTTTCTATGCCCATGAAGTGCCTGGTAGGTAGTAGGAACTCACACGTTCTGCTATGCTGGTTGCAGCACAGGACACAAAAGTTAGAATTATTTCAAAGGACTTATACTCTACTAGGAAAGAGAGAAACATAGAAATATAGTGTTGTATGTGGTATCTTCCCTAAGATAAGTACAACCAAAGAGCTATGGATGTTCAGAGATAGAATGTAGTACTGGGATGATGTCAAGGAGGCAGTGGTACTTAAGCTGCTCAAGGTAGGGAAGCAGTTTACTTGCTAGTTTTTCATAAGTAAGCTCTTCAGAATTTATCTCCAGTATTTGAAATGAATTTTTTTAAACCTCAGATCTGAATATATTCAAACACCCATATTTCATCAAATCTAAGGCATATCATATACCTTTAATTTAAAAAAAAATGCTGAGCAGAGTTGCTTATGTCTGGGAGGCTGAAGTGGGAGGATTGCTTGAGGCCAAAAGTTTGAGACCAGCCTGAGCAACATAGCAAGATCCTGCCTCTAAAAACAAACAAACAAAAAATGCTGCCAGTTGATCATTACATTTATCCCGACATCAGATATGTCAAATTGTGAAAAGCACCTTAATTTTGATGAAATATGATAGGTAAAAAATAGCGCAAAGCTAAGTATAAGTGACTTTTAAATTATCTGCTCTTTTGGATTATCACTACTGCTACTAGCCGTTAGAATATTGGTTTGGATAATGGAAAGTTGACTAGAGCTACAAAATCTGTTTCAAAATAAAAGATCTGCTCAAACAAGAATGTGATGATCACTTGCTGTATTGTACAACAAAGTCAAACTGCTGTTAGACTCAGGTGACAGTCAAATGTTGGAGGCTGTGTTGGGATGAGTTGTTACAAAGCCTCTTTCATTCTTCCCATGCCATGTCCAGGAGTTCTTCTCTGTTAAACCTGAAGAGATGCCAGCCCTCCTCAGAGGAAAGGTCTAAAGCCCCTCGACTAGTATAGTAGTTGATAGAAGCCTGGTTCCAAATGACGACAAGAAAGTGCATGCAGTTACATTGAGTTGTGATGGCTATCTGTTTAAAAACAAACAAGCAAATATTACTTTCATTTGAAAGTATAATCTTCGTTAACACATATATTTTATTGAAGGTCTACTCTATGCAAGACACTATGTGTGAATAATACTTCCAAATATAGTAGTTACCTTTTGAACTTTTCTATAGCTGTAAAAAGAAAAAAGTCTCACTGTTCTGAGCTTTAAAGCCCTCTTTAAAATCTCAAAACTGATTTGCAAAGCCTTTATCATACAGAAAAGGTGTACCTAAAAGAACACATGTTCTCATATGTTTCCAAAATACAAGAAGATCTTGCTTTTATAGTCTTGTAATATTCATACTGTGAGCCTGTGTTTTTGAATAAAAATGCTTTCTAATCTCCCTCCTTCTTACTTTCCCTTGATAGCAAAAAGGGTGTATAGTGTGGTTGTGGATTATATATAAATCAATTTTAATTGACTATAATTCATATACTGTATATGATCATCTGATTTGAAAATCCAGTTTAATTTGGGTAGAAATTTGAAGTATATGTTGGGGTTATGTTCAAATGGTGAGATTAATGATTTAATTTATGCCCTGTGAATATTTATTAAGAAAAGGTTAATGTATAGAATATCAATACTAATTGTAATACATACCTGACTTAGCCTCTTCAGCATTTCAGCTCCAATACCTAGGCCTTTTAAATAGACAATGCAAAGTGAAAACTGCAAATTTCACTTAACTTGTTATTTGCTTTAGTTTAAAATAAATAATATCTAAAACTCTGTATCTGTTTTTTGTATATTATTAATAGCTTCTGGAAACACAACTCGTGAATGCTTTCATATCCCTTTTTCCTAATTGGAATGACGTACCAAAGGTCATAGAAGAGTTTGGGTTTATTTTAAAGATCAGTGAAGAAGTGAGTCTCTGCCACTATTGTCTTATAACGGTATATTTCTTAGCTGTTTTTACTGAAAACCACCTAAAATGTGAAAGCATTTTTTAAAGATAAAAGTATAGCTGTGTGGCCTATACTCACACGATGGCTCACACATGTGATGGCACGATGGCTCACACCTGTAATCCCAGCACTTTGGGAGGCCAAGGCAGGAGGATCACTTGAGCCCAGGAGTTTGAGACCAGCCTGGGCAACACAGACCCTGTTTCTCCAAAAAATAAAGAATTAGCTGGGTGCTGTGGCACATGCCTGTAGCCCCAGCTACTTGGGAGGCTGAGGTGGGAGGATTGCTTGAGTGTAGGAGGTTGAGGTTACAATGAGTCGTGATCACACCACTGCATTCTAGCCTGGGTGACAGAAAACCCTGTCTCAAAAACAAAATAAAAAAATATATAGCCATGTGATAGCTTGGCTTATTCAAACCTTGAGAGGAACTAATAAAATGTTTTTCTAATCTGTGACTGAGTCTTCACAATCACAGATTAGATCAAACTCATTAGGATAGTGATCAAACTCATTAAGTAGCAATAAGTTACATTAACTAAAACACCGTATGTATAGTAAAGCCCTATCTCCTTAAAATATGTCACTTTAATTTTTAAAGTATTTAAAAGTAATATCATAAATTTTAGTTTTACCTTGGTAAGCTTGTGTGACATAAAAGTCCTCTAGGTAAAGTACCTTGCCAGTCCATGAGTCGTATGTAAAGTAGTACATGGCAAATCCAACAGTCAGTTTGCCTAGGAAGGGAGAAGAAAGGGTGTAGAAAGGTTGGTTGAATCTTAGCCAGTTCTTTACCCCCAAATTGAATGTCTTTTGGCGTTTGTTTAACTATTAAAGTAATAAATGCTCACTGGAAAAAAATAACAATACAAAAACATATAGTGTAGAGGACTTAAGTCCCTTAAAATACAACCTTTAAGATATAAGCCCTCCTTTTATAGTGTGGTGTACGATCTTCCAAAAAATTTTAGCTGGGCGCAGTGGCTCATGGCTGTAATCCCTGTGCTTTGGGAGGCCAAGGCGGGAGGGTCGCTTGAGCTCAGGAGTTTGAGACCAGTCTGGGCAACATAGTGACACCCTGTCTCTACAAAAAATAATTTTAAATTAGTTGGACATAGTGGCACATGTCTGTAGTCCCAGCTACTTGGGAGGCTGAGACACTTGAGCACAGGAGTTTAGTTGGAGGCTGCAGTGAGTCATGATCATGCCACTGCACTCCAGCCTGGGTGACAGAGCGAGACCCTGTCTCTTAATAATAATGTTTATACAAACATAAGTACATACCATGCATTTTCTTTAAAAAAACTGGGTTTATACACATTCTCTTCTGCTTAATAGTAATTATATGCTACAAAACTGTACTATTTTTCAGCATGGAAAAAATATACTCCAGATTGAACTGGAGAAGAAAGGTTTACTCTACCTGATGGTTTTTGTTGATCGTTTACTTCTGCAATCAGGCAGTAGAAAAGGGGATTGTCCCCAAAGCCATCTCTGAGTAAATCTGAAATATCAATTCATATATAGGATGTCAGAAAGTTTATAGCAGAGAGAAGGAGATGGTGGATAGGAAGCACTAGGAATTTCTCTCTCCACCTGGATAGCAATTGTATTGGCGGAAACTGAAGTGAATATTTTGGAACTCTGGAGTTTATCTGAACATTTGCAACTTACAGGAGACAGCCTGGCTGGTCAACTGCAGTTAATTTGGATCAAATTCAGCCATCAGTGAGGTGGCAGCTACCCAACACTCAGCACCCTCTACTCCATGGGAACAGCAACCTGTATTTCTGTAGCAGCTTGCTGGAGCAAGGGTGACCAATAAACCTCTTGTCCTCAAAATACTGAAGTTCTGTGTTTTGACTGTGTGTTGTTACTCTGATCACTGAGGTGACGACTTGGAGGTTAACTGCCATTGTTCCAACCCCCACGAGCTGAAGTGGCTTCCAGGAGATTTAAAGGAGCTGCCCTGTTTTGTGAGACATTTGGGAATTAAAAACATATATACAGGGGAATTTAGAAAGTTACCATGTGTGACTAGATAAAGATGGAGGCCGGGCGCGGTGGCTCACGCCTGTAATCCCAGCACTTTGGGAGGCCGAGGCGGGCGGATCACGAGGTCAGGAGATCGAGACCATCCCGGCTAAAACGGTGAAACCCCGTCTCTACTAAAAATACAAAAAATTAGCCGGGCGTAGTGGCGCGCGCCTGTAGTCCCAGCTACTTGGGAGGCTGAGGCAGGAGAATGGCGTGAACCCGGGAGGCGGAGCTTGCAGTGAGCCGAGATCCCGCCACTGCACTCCAGCCTGGGCGACAGAGCGAGACTCCGTCTCAAAAAAAAAAAAAAAAAAAAAAAAAAAAGATGGAGAGGGGACCTGAGAACACATTAAGCTTTCAACTCAGGCTGATCCCTGACACAGAGAACGCCCTGTAATGCTTTAAAACAAACTCCCATCAAATCCTGGGGAAAAAGGAGAATCTGATTTCCAGAGTTACCATAGTATAAGTTTCAAATGTCTAGCTTTCAACAAAAATCACAAGAAATGATGGTCATTCAAAGGAATAAAATACATTAACAAAAAACATAGCTGATGAAAGCCAGATGTTTGACTTACTAAACAACTTAAAACATCTGTCTTAAAGATGCCCAGAGAGATAAGACATGCACAAATACAGGAAAAATATATGTAAACAAAATAATATAGATATAAATTTTAAAAAATCCTCCCCCTAACATTCTGAAGCTTAAAAGTTCAATAACTGAAATGAAAAAAAAATGCACTGTACTGGAGGGGTTCAAAGGCACATTTGAATAAGTTGAAGAAAGAGTCTGTGAACTTGAAACTAGGCCAGGTGAAATTATTGAGTCTGAGAAACAGAAAAGGGATGAGGAAAAGTGAACAAAGCCAAAAGTGTCTGTGGAACATCATCATCATCAGGTGGAACAGGATATATCTTGTGGGACTTAACAGGAGAGAGGGAGAGAGAGAATTTGAAAAAATAGCTGCTGAAAACCAAATTTGACATAAAACATGAATCTACAAATACAAGAAGCTCAACAAACTCTAACTAGGATACACCCAAAGAAATCCACACCAAGACACATTATAATGAAAGTCTCAAAACCAAAGACACAGAATCTTACACAGCAAGAGAAGCAATTTGTCATATATGAGGGATCCTCAATTAGATTACCATCTGCTTTCCCATCAGAAACCTTGGAAGCCAAAAAGCAGTGGATTGATATTTAAAGTCTGGGGGGCAGGGGGAGCAGGGACTGTCAACTAAGAATTTTATATCCACCAAAACTGTCCTTCAAAATGAGGGATAAATTAAGACATTCCCAAACACCCCCCACCCCAGCCCCCTCAAAAAAAAAAAAGAAAGAAACTGAAGGAATTCATTACCATTAGACCTGCCCAGCAAGAAATGCCAAAAGGAGTCTTTCAGGTTGAAATGAAAGTAATCTAAACAGTAACTCAAAGTTGTATGAATAAAGATTTCTGGTAAAGACAGATACATGAGCAATTATAAGAGGTAGTATTGTAATTATGTTTATACAGTCGACCCTTGAACAACATGGGGTGGAACTGTGCAAGTACACTTACACGTGGATTTTTTTCAAACACAGATCAAAAACGATATTCATTGGAGGAGAAACCCACATATACAGAGGACTGACTTTTCATATATGTGAGTTCAGTAAGACTCGCTGTGGGACTTGAGTAGGCATGGATTTGGGTATATGCAGTGGGTCCTGGAACCAATCTCCTGCATATACTGAGAGATGACCCTAACTCCACGTTTTGTTTTCTACATTGTCTAAAAGACAAATGGATAAAAATAATTATTACTTTTTATTTTTTTGAGACAGAGTCTTGCTCACCCAGGTTGGAGTGCAGTGGCATGATCTTAGCTCACTGCAACCTCTGCCTCCTGGGTTCAGGTAGTTCTCATGCCTCAGCCTCCCATGTAGCTGGGACTACAGGCACCTGCCATCATGCCCAGCTAATTTTTTAAGGTATTTTTAGTAGAGATGGGGTTTTGCCATGTTGGCCAGGCTAGTCTCGAACTCCTGGCCTCAAGTGATCCACCCACCTCAGCCTTCCAAAGTGCTGGGGTTACAGGCGTGAGCCACCATGCCCAGCCTAATGTACGTTATTGGGCACACAATGTATAAAGATGTAATCCCTGACATCAATAACAGAAGAGGGGGACAGAGATATATATATAAGAAGAATTTTGTATGCTATTGAAGTTAAGTTGGTTTAAATCAAAATTAGATTGTTATAACCATCAAATATAATCCCCATGGTAAACACAAAATATCTATAAAATACACACATAAGGAAATGAGAAGGAATCAAAATGTTTCACTACAAAAATAAAACACACGAAAAGGACTAATGGAGGAAAGTAGGAACAACCAAAAGCTTTAAGGCGTATGGAAGACAGTTAAATAGTACAGGTGAGTCCTTCCTCATCAGTAATTAAATGTAAATGGATTAAAGACTCCTGCCAAAACACAGAGATAGGCAGAATAGATTAAGGAAAACAAACAAAAACATGATCCAAGTATATACTGTCTACAAGAGACATACTGTAGATCCAGTCACAAATATGTTGAAAATGAAATGATGGAAAAAGGTATTTCATGCAAATAGTAACTGAAAGAGAGCTAGGGTGGCTATACTAGTATCAGACAAAATAGACTTTAAGTCAAAAACACTTACAAGAAACAAAGTACATTATGAAATGATAAAGGGGTTAATTCACCAAGAACATAGCATTTATAAATATACATGCATTGAACATCACAGCTCCAAAATATATGAAGCAAACACTGACAGAACTGAGAGAACTACACAGCAAGACAATAATAGGAGATTCAGTACCCCACTTTCAGTAATATATAGGACAACCAGACAGAAAAGTAGATGACTTGAACACTGTAGACCAATTGTATCTAACAGACATATACAGAAACCTCTATCCAACTACAACAGAATACACATTTTTTTCCCTCAAGTACACATGGAACTTTCTTTAGGATAGATACATTAGGTCACATACCAAGTCTTAATAAATTTTAAAATATGAAAATCACACACAGTATTTTTTCTAATGACAATACAATGATACTAGAAATCAGTGGGAAAAAAACTTGAGAAATTTACAAATATGTGGAAATTAAACAACGCACCGTACACAACCAATGGGTCAAAGAGGAAAGTATAAGGGAAATAGGAAAACACTTAGAGATATGAACGAAAATGAAAACACAACAAACAAAAGCTTACAAGATGAAGTGAAAGTAGTGCTCAGAGGGAAAATTATAGCTGTAAATGCCATTTAAAAAATTATCTAAAACAATAATCTAACTTTATGCCTTAAGGAACTAGAAAAAGAAGAGCAAACTAAGCCCAGAGCTTGCAGAAGTAAGGTAATAATAAAAATTGGATAGAGATAAAATAGAGGATAGAAAAACATGGAGAAAATCAATGAAGGTTGATTATTTGAAAAGATCAACAAAATTGACAGCTAGACTGACAAAGAGGATGCAAATAATTAAAATCAGAAATGAAAATAAGGACATTACTGCCAACACTACAACATTAAAAGGGGGTATAGAAATATTATGATTTATATAACAACAAATTAGATAACCTAGAAGAAATGGACACATTCCTTCAAACATGCAAATTACCTAAACCTACTTAAGAAACAGAAAATCTCAACAGACCTGCAAAAGTTTGAATCAGTAATCAAAGATCTCCCAACAAAAAAAAGGAAGGAACCAAATGGCCTCATCACTGGTGAATTCTACCAAACATTTACAGAAGAATTAATACCAGTCGTTCTCTAACTCTTCCCAAAAAATGAAGAGACGGGAACACTTTGTAATTAATTCCGTGAGGTCAGCATTACTCTGATTCCAAAGGCAGTCAAAGATATTAGAAGAAAGTTACAGGCCAATATTCCTTAATAATATAGGTTAAAAAATTCTCCACAAAATTGGAAATTGAACTCAACAGCATATTAAAGGGATTATTCACCATAATCAAGTGTGATTTATCCTAGGAACGTAAGGGTGCACCAACATAAGAATATCAATTTAATACATCATATTAATGAAACAAAGGGGGAAAAACCCACATAATCAAATCAATGAATGCCGAAAAAGGTGTTTGACTAAAGCACAACACTTTCATGATAAAAGCTTTTATAAAACTAGGAATAGAGGGACATTCCTCAACATGATACAGCGTACTTATGAAAACGACATTATACTCAATGGTGAATGACTGAAAACATTCCCCTAAGATTAGGAAGAAGACAAAGATTCCCACTTTCACCACTGGTATTCAACATTGTACTGGAAGTTATGGCCAGAGCTATTAGACAAGAAAAATAAATAAAAACCATCCATAGGCCAGGCCCAGTGTCTTACGCCTGTAATCCCAACACTTTGGGAGGCCAAGGCAGGTGGATCACCTGACGTCAGGAGTTTGTGACCAGTCTGGCCAACATGGTGAAACCCCATCTCTACTAAAAATACAAAAATTAGCCAGGTGTGGTGGCATGTGCCTGTAATCCCAGCTACTCGGGAGGCAGAGGCAGGAGAATTGCTTTAACCTGGGACATGGAGGTTGCAGTGAGCCAAGATCGTGCCAATGCACAACAGAGCAAGACTCTGTCTCAAAACAAAACAAAACGAAACAAAAAAACAAAAAAAATCCATAGTAGAAAGGAAAAGGTAAAACTATCTATTTGCAGATCACACAATTCTATATAGAGAAAATTCCAAAGAATCTAAGAGAAAGCTTCTAGAGCTGTAAACAAATTCAGCAAAGTTGCAGGGTACAAGATCAACAAACAAAAATAAGTTGTGTTTCTATATAGCAGCAAAAAACAAACCAAAAAATAAATTAAGAAAGCAGTACCACTTACAATAACCCCTAAAATAATTGAATACCTAGGAATAAATCTAATCAAGGAGGTTAAAAACTTGTATACTGAAAGCTATAAAACATTGCTCAAAGAAACTGGAAAATATCCAAAGAAATTAAAAAAGAAAAACAACAACAACCCTGTGTATGCATAGGAATACAACATCGGTAGGATGCCAATACTATTCAAAATGATCTACATATTTAATGCAGTCCCTATTAGAATTCCAACAGCCTTTTTCACAGAAATAGAAAAGCTGATCCTCACATTCATATGGAATTCCAAGGGGCCCCAAATAGCCAAAACAATCTTGAAAACAAAGAATAATATTGGAGGACTCACACTTCCTGACTTTGAAACTTATTAGAAAGCTACAGCAGTTAATACTGTAGGGTAGTGACAAAAGGACAGACATATAGACCAAGGGAACAGAATAGAGACCTCAGAAACAAACCCTCACATATCTGACCCATTGATACAAGGGTTCTATGACCATTCATGGGGAAAAGGACCGTCTTTTCAACAAACAGTACTAGGGAAACTGAATATCCATATGCAAAATAATGAAGTTGGACCCTTAACTTCACATCATGTACAAAATGTAACTCAAAATAGATCAAATACCTCAACATAAGTGCTAAACCTATAAAACTCTTAGAAGAAACATGGGAAATCTTCAAGACATTGAATTTGGCAATGATTTCTTGGATATAACACCAAAAGCACAAGTGACAAAAGAATGAATAAATTGGACTTTATCAAAAATAAAATCTTTTGTATGTGAAAGGGCAATATCAAGAGTAAAAAGGCAACCCATGGAATGGGAGAAAGTATTTGGAAATAACATCTGATAAGGGATTAATATCCAGACTATATAAAGGACTCCTACAACTCAACAACAAAAAACCAACTCAATTCCAAAATGTGTAAATATCATAAATAGACACTTCTCAAAGAAGATATACAATGGGTCAATAAGCACATGAAAAGGTGTTCAACATCACTAATCATTAGTGCAATGCACATCAAAACACAATGAGATATCACTTCATACCGACTAGGATGGGTATTACAAAAAAACAAAAATAAGTGTTGGTGAGGATGTGGAGAAATTAGAACCCTTGTGCTTTGCTAATGAGAATGTAAAATGATGCAGCTGTTGTGGAAAACAGTATGGAAGCTCCTCAGAAAAACCCCCAAATTATCATATGATCCAGCTATTCCACTTTTAGGTACGTGCCCAAAATAATGAAAGCAGCAACTCAGACAGATACTTGTACACCAATGTTTCACAGCAGCATTATTCACAATAGCCAAAATTTGGAAACAGTCAAAATAAACAAAATGATATATATATCTCACATTATATATATACACAATGGAATGTTATTCAGCTTTGAAAAGGAAAGAAATTCAGATACAGGCTACAACTTGGATGAAACTTGAAACATTATGCTAAGTGAAATAAGGCAGACACACAAGGACAAATATATATTTCCAGTCATATGAGGTACCTAGAATAGACAAATTTGTAGAGATAGAAAGTAGAATAGTAGTTATGAGAGCCTAGGGGGAGGGAGGTCGGCAATGGGGATTTATTTTTTTTAATTTATTTTTTTAATTTTTAAATTTTATTTATTTATTTTCTTATTATTATACTTTAAGTTTTAGGGTACATGTGCACAATGTGCAGGTTTGTTACATATGTACACATGTGCCATGTTGGTGTACTGCACCCATTAACTCGTCATTTAGCATTAGGCATATCTCCTAATGCTATCCTTCCCCCCTCCCCCCACCCCACAACAGTCCCCGGAGTGTGATGTTCCCCTTCCTGTGTCCATGTGTTCTCATTGTTCAATTCCCACCTATGGATTTATTGTTTAATGATTACAGAGTTTCAGCTGGGTGATGAAAATGTCTGGAGATGGATAGTGGTGCTGGTTGCACAACAATGGATGTATTGAATGTCACTGAATTATACAGTTACAAATAGTTAAAATGATATGTGTATTTAATCACATTTTTTAAAAGTTTGTGACAATAGGTAAGAGTAAACAAAAATCAAATATCTCACCGGCCTCTATACAAGTACATAAGGACATTTTAAGATAAAAACAGGACTGAGGACATTATGAAATTACTGCAATTTAAATATATACTGAAATCCTAAGGCAGGATGCTGGAGTATACAAAGTATTTTGTTGTTTGTTGTTTATGATTGTTACATATTATCCTGAGCAGTATTTTTCTAACTACAATGAAATAGTGTAGGGGCATTATCTCAACATAGTACAGATTGAGTATCTCTTATCCAAAATTCTTGGGACAAGAAGTGTTTTGAATGTCTGATTTTTTTTGATTTTTAAAATATGTCATTATATACTCAACAGTTGAGCATCCCTAATCTGAAATCTGAAATGTTCCAATGAACATTTCCTTTGAGTGTAATGCCAGTGCTCAAAAAGTTTCTGATTTTGGAGCATTTCAGATTTCAGATTATCAGGTTAGGGATGCTCATTTTGTTATGCTGTTTCAGTTTGAGTACTGCTTTCATAGAGTGTACATTACTTTCAACTTTGTATTTCTTACTATTTCTTTTAAGCCAACAAAATTACTATTTAGTTAACATTCTAGTGGTGTTAATTACCAAGTATAAGAACATAAGTATCATCACATAAGACAACTGATCCATGATCTATGCAGTTCAGAATTCTATTTCTGACCAAGGCACTAAGACTAGTTTGTTAGGGCATGGCGCAAAAGACTCCACAAAACATCCCATAACTTCCTTCTGAATCTGTCACCCAGTATTATAGTGAAACCATTTATCTCCTTGGTAGAATGTTCTCAGTTTATTACATGCATTCTGAAGTATTCAACTTCAAGGAGTTATCCTTCATCAATTCTTCTAGATTTTGATAACTGTCTTCACCTAGTCTTTGCCATTTGTAATTTTATATACATCAATAATCTTTTCATCTTCATATTTACTGCCTAAAATGTTCCAATTCAGAAATCACTAGCCTATCCTATTAATCTTGATGACTATCAAAATGTAGTAAATACTTTGAAAATATTTTAAATCATTTTGCTTTTATCAATTTCCTTGTATCAAGTTACTACCAACATACTGGGTGTTAAATTATACTTTTTTGACCAGTAACACTCCTCATTTTACATTCTGAAAACCAGCTGAAGTCTATTGGAGCTGTAAAGGTGTAAGAGCTCTTAAGTATCATTTTTGTACTAAAAATAAGGAAAATAAAATAGTGGAGCACTGACAAAGCTATCAAATTTATGTCCTGCACATGTTAGTAATGGTGTCATCTTTATGTACCAAGAACAATAGCTTCCACATATCTAAGTAGTACTGTGTGTTTCTTTTTCTTGCTCTGAAAATACCACAAAACACCTTACCAGCTGCTGTTAACTCCATTGCATCTAGCATGTTTTCACAGGCAGCCAATTCCTGTCAAAGTAGATAAAACCTTCAGTTTATGATTTAGCAATAAATTATTAAGATGATAATCATCATAAAATTTGTATTAAACATTTATTGACATGTGACGTCCTGGGCAGTGTTAAAAGTGAGTCAGACTTAATCCCAGTCATCTAGAAACAAAATCTACAACAGTAATGCAACGAAAGGATGTATAAATATTATTAAAGAGAGAGATTAACTATGTTTATACCTCACACATATGAATGTTAATTATCCAGATTAGTAACCTTGAATGCAGCCAGAAACTGAGAAGTAAGGCAAAAAAAGTTACTGAGCATTCAAGGCAGCTGTCATAAAGTTTATGTATTATGAAGCTCATAGGCTTTACAGAGAAGTCTCTCAGGTGTTTGCCTATGAAATGTTTTTGCCAGTTTAACCTGAGGCTTTTTTATTGTGGCTTTTTACTATATCATTTTATTTTACATACTCAGGTTCTTTCCTTCATGGTTTATATCTCAAGCTTGAAAAGCAAAAAATATTCACTCGTTTTCTTTTTAAGATCATAATATTAATAATTGATTTGTTCAACTTTTTTTGGTGTAAGAAGTTAGGTACAATTTCACCTTTATCTTTTCCTCCCAATAGTCCCAACAGCACTTACTGAATAACCCATCTTGGCTGACTTGACATGTCCCTTTTATCATATACTACATCCTCATTTACAGTCATCCCTTTGTATCCATGGGAGATTAGTTTCAGGACCTGCTCCCTCAGCCCCAGGATACCAAAATCTGAGAGTGTTCAAGCCCCTTATATAGCAGAGTATTTGCATGTACCCTATGTACATCCTCTCATATATTTTAAATCATCTCTGGATTACTTACAATATCTAATACAATGTAAATATTATGTAAATAGTTATACTGTATTGTATAGGGAATAATGACAAGAAAAAAGTCTGTACATGTTCAGTACGGTTGCAATTTTTACAAATATTTTCAATCCATGGTTGTTTGAATCTACAGATGCAGAAGCCATGGATACAGAAGGCTGACTGCATACTTAAGAGAACTTCTGGACTCTCCATTCTGTCCCATTGATCTATCTTTCCACTAGTTACCATAGTATTTTAATTACTTACAGTTTTATAATATCTGGTATAGATCATCTCCCCTCATTACTCTTCTTTTTTGAATTTTTAAAATGTTTCTATGTGAAAATTTGGAGATTTTGACTGGAATTGCATTAAACTTTTAATGGAAAAAAGCTTTTAAAATACAGGAGAACCCCAAGGGCCAGATTACATAGAGCATTAGTAAGAAGTTTGGATTTTATTCTCAAGGCAACCAGAAGCTCAATGGAGTTTTAAGCATTTTGGCTGCTGTGTAGAGAATGGATTGGTCAGGGAGGACAATATTTATGTCGATACCTCCTCTAAGACACTGTAAGCTCCTTGAGGGTAGAGAGAGACTGTAATCCAAGAATCCTTATATCTTTTATACTACTTGGTATATAATCTTCCCCTAATATGCATTCAATGTTTGTATAATGAACAAAAATAAAATATTAATATGACCCAGCACCATCTGTGGTTCACCAATGGTCCAAAACCACACTTTAAGGACCACCACAATAAAAAGCTTTAGAAATTCTGGTAAGCAAGAAGTATGGCTGCCTGGCAATGAAATGACTAGGCTCCCAAATAATGCTGTGATGTGCTGATTGAGAATAGTATAAAATGAGTTCATACAGAGGATACTTGGAATGGGACAGTCAATAAAACCTGTAATATATTCAGCTAAGCAATTACTGTGATTGCAAACTCTAATAAACTCCTCTGCAAGGAGAGAATGTTTTGCAAACTTAGCAATGAACAGGAGTTAGGACAAATGGACATAAAATATTAAGAAGAACATAAAACTCAAAGCCAATTAGTCACTATATACATGTATGTGAGAGAGTAATTTAGCTTTTCTATTATTTTTCCACAATGAATACTCATTAAAATTACTCCCAATAAACATCTTATGTATTATCAGATACATGTGGCAAATTAAAAAGTAAATGTGGCCAGAAACCCTTCAGATAGTTTCATTGAAATGGGGTAATCTAGTGATGTATTATTCCCTTGGTGATGACAATGGGCATTGCTTGGAAAGCTAGGAAAAGTGCATTTGTCCAGGTAAAGAGATTAATTGTCATTCAACAATAAATTTATTAATTGCCGACCGAGTGTCAGATGCTAGAACTACAAAAAACTCTTTAAAAAATGTTTTCTACCACCTGGAAGAATGTGGATCTGTAATAATCTCTTGGGCATAGTATTTTGATAGGTTATCTAATCATTCAGATTAATGCCAGTTAGAGAAATGATGTGAGAATTTGTGGAAATGGAATAGAATGTAAGCCATAAAAGGATAGGTAACCCAATTCTTACAGATCTGTAACCAGGCCTAGAATCACTTCAACAGGTGGATTTCACTAGAAAACTATGGGTATTTTATTTTGGCCATTAAAACACACTCTCCAAAGGGAACACAAACTTGGCCTGATTTAGATAAGATTTAAATATATTAGTGAGGATATTATTAAAACATTTTCATTACAAAACACTTATGAGGGCTGCGTATCTACAATCTATGCCTTGCTCCAGCCACATATTTACTCCATAAAGAACATGGTTTACAGCTTTATATGGAATTCTGTAGGTTGTCCATCACATAAATGAGTGCTTTCAGCACCACAGAACTTCAGCACAGTAACTGTGACTACTAGATAGCTTGTCCCTTTAATTAACTGGAATGATTTCCAAGGGAGCCATTAAAATAAACATTTAAATGAGAAATATGTAACCCAGCTCCTTGGCTCCTGGGGGCTGTCTGTGGATGGGCTTCAGTGATCAATGAACTGTCTGAAAATGTATGGAAAATTTGTTGCATGTGAATATTGTTTTTTAGGTAGCTGATCATCAGTTTCTACAAGTAGGTGTGGCCTTAGAAGCAATGCGACTCCCTACCGCAAAATCCTAGCCACTAAAATATGAAATTCTATCATCGGTGGGTCATTTGTTTAAGGTAAGCATTTCTTTTCTCTAAGACACTCTTTTAAAGTTAAAATTTCCCCAGGAAAGAGAACACATTCAGTCCCTAAAATTTCCAGGAATTGGTTCCCCTATAACTTTTTGAGCCCCTTACTATATGCCAAGCAATTTATATGTAATCATTTTATGTTATTGTTTCATAACAACAATCTTTTGAGATATATATTGTTATAATCTTGATTTTAGATGCAGAAAATGAAGAGTAAAGAGGTTAAGTAACTACCAGAGGTTATGAACACATAACTAGCAGAGGCAGAATTCGAACCCCAACTATGCCTCCCTTACTCTTTCAGCCCTACACCAATGCCATGAGGCTCCATGTAATAAAAATAGGCTTACTTTAATCAGTCGCAAAATTTCTGGGCAGTCTCCAGCCTCTGCATGTCTTATTTGAAAGTAATCCATGCTTGTTTGCCTCATGCCCATTTGGCTCACACTTGGTTGGCTCCTGCCTGGTTGACTCAGGCCTGGTTGGCTCAGCACTAATTGGTTCAGGTCTTGTTGGCTCAGGCCTGGCTGACTCGGCCCCGGTTCCCATATGCCTGGTTGGCCCCTGCCTGGATGGCTCATGCCTGTTTGGTTCTTACTTGATTGGCTAGTGCCTGGTTGTCTCATGCCTAGTTGGCTGGGGACTTGCTGGCTCATGCCTGGTTGCCACATGCCTCGTTGCCACATGCCTGGTGGACTCTTGTTTGGTTGCCTCGGGACTGGTTGGCTCAGGCCTGTTTGCCATGTGCCTGGTTGGCTCATGCCTATTTGGCTTGTGCCTGATTGGCTGGTGCCTACTTGTCTCATGCTTGGTTGGCTCCCACCTGACTGTCTCATGTCTAGTTGCCACATCACTGGTTGGCTTATACCTGATTGGTTTGTGCCTGCTTGGCTCGTGCTTGATTGTCTGGGGCCTGATTGGCTTGGGGCTCGTTGCGGTGGACCTGGTTGGCTTATGCTTGCTTCACTCAGGACTAGTTCGCTCAGGCTTTGTGGCCACATGCCTGGTTGGCTCCTACCTAATTGCCATGTGCCTGGTTGTTTCATGCCAGGTTGGTTTATGTCTGGTAGGTTTGTACCTGATTGCCTCATGCCAGCTTGGCTCATGCTTGGTTGTTTCATGTCCACTTGGTTCATTTCATATAGGCTTGCACTCCATTGGTTCATGTCCATTTGGTTCATACCAAGTAAGCTTGGGCTTGGCTGGATTATACCTGTTTGGTTGGAATCTGATAAACTTGATTGGTTTGCGTCTGGTTGGCTCATGTCTGTTTGGTTCTTACATGATTGGCTAGTGTCTGGTTGCCTTATGCCTGGTTGGCTGGGGACTTGCTGGCTCATGCCTGGTTGACTCATGTCTGGGTGGCTTGGGACTTGCTGGCTGATGCCTGGTTGTTGCACGCCTGGTTGCCACATGCCTGGTGGACTCATGTTTGGTTGCCTCAGGACTGGTTGGCTCAGTCCTGTTTGCCATGTGCCTGGTTGGCTCATGCCTATTTGGCTTGTGCCTAATTGGCTGGTGCCTACTTGTCTCATGCTTGGTTGGCTCCCACCTGACTGGCTGTCTAGTTGCTGCATCACTGGTTGGCTCATACCTGATTGGTTCGTGCCTATTTGCCTCATGCGTGATTGGCTGGGGCCTGATTGGCTTGGGCCTGGTTGCGATGGGTCTGGTTGGCTTATGCCTGCTTTGCTCAGGACTAGTTGGCTCAGTTCTTGTTGCAGCATGCCTGGTTGGCTCCTACCTAATTGCCATGTGTCTGGTTGTTTCATGTCGGGTTGGTTTATGTCTGGTAGGTTTGTACCTGATTGCCTCATGCCAGCTTGGCTCATGCTTGGTTGTTTCATGTCCACTTGGTTCATTTCATATAGGCTTGCACTCCCTTGGTTCATGTCCATTTGGTTCATACCAAGTGAGTTTGTGCTTGGCTGGTTTATGCCTGCTTGGTTCGAGTCTGATAAACTTGATTGGTTCGTGCCTGATTGGTTCATGCCCAGTTGATTCCTGCTTTGTTGACTAAGGATGGGGTGGCAGATGATGGGTTGGCAGACAACTGATTGGCTGATGGCTGTCTTGATGGAACAGAATCCCTTAACTGTGCTGTGGTGGGAGGTTGTTGGCTGTTCCCAGTTCTTCTCAATTTGATTCGCCCACTTTGAGATACCCCTCTATCAAGGTGGGAATTGGAAAAAGAGAGGAGCACCTCAGGAAGATTATTAATGCCTCCGGTTTGCTGGAGTTGACTTCACCAGCGACCACAGCTGCAAGCTTGGCTGAGTTTCAGGTTGTCATCTGGCCTTTCCCTGCCAAAAGGGGGGAAGTAAAGGGAAGACGAAAATGATCCTGGAGGAGTATAACCACCAGCCCGCCCCTGCATGGTCACTGCATCATAATGGCGGTCACAATGCAGGTATCAAAGTGCCTACGTGCTCCCCCGTGTGGTGAGGGTGGGGCAAAGCAGGGCTCGCTTGACCACTTTATTTCATCCTCTCTTAAGAGCTTAAAATGGTGAAGCAAGAGGCTATAATGAGTCTCAGAGCTTATGCTTGGCACTCCCAAGAGTCCCTGCTGTTTTAGCCAATTCAAAGAAACTTGCCGCAACTCCCCTCCCTTTCCCTTCATCCCATTATTCAAATAATTCAATTCCTATTTCCGTCCTCATTTTTCACTTACACTGGAAACTAGTTGTCCCGATGAAGTGCTCAAGTCTCGAATGCAGATACTACGTCTTTAAAAATAATAATAGCTGCGCTGGACGTGGTGACTCACGCCTGTAATCCCAGCACTTTGGAAAGCCGTGGCGGGTGGATGGCCTGGGGTCAGGAGTTCGAGACCAGCCTGGCCAATATAATGAAACCTCATGTCTACTAAAAATACAAAAAATTAGCTGGGCATGGTGGTGGGCACCTGTAATCCCAGCTACTCGGGAGGCTGAGGCAGGAGAATCGCTTGAACCCAGGAGGTGGAGGTTGCAGTGAGCTGAGATCGCACTATTGCACTCCAGCCTGGGCAACAAGAGTGAAACTCCGTCTCAAAAATAATAGTAATTATAATAGCTACAGCCAACATTTACTGAGTTCCTTTATGGCCTAGGCTCAGTGGAATGTACGTTTCATTTTCTTATTCAATCCACATCAACACTATTATCCCCAATTCTGAGAAAACTGACTCAAAAGATTTGGTTACCTCCCCAAGGCTTCGTAAAAGTTGGTGGAGAGCCTGAATTCAGACCCAGATCTATCTTTCCAGGCTTTTTATTATTATTCGGTCCAGCCTCTTAAACACATTCCACTCGTTCTCCATCCTCATATCTGTGAGGTCAGGCATTTTGTCCTTTTACCTCTCCCCTCTGCAGGATTCATTCTCCCATCATTTTAACTGCTGGCTTACTTCCTCAACAATGTATATTATATAACTGGTTCTAATATTGTTTCAGATGGAATATTATTTATTTTTTAAATATACCAGAGAACTTTGGATGAGGCTGTTCTAAGTCTCACGCTGTGATAAGGGCTTTACATATGTATTATCTCACTTAATCATCAAAATAACCCTGTGATGCATGTACCGTTGTTCCCCATTTTATCAATAAACTGGAAGTCAAGTTAACTCAGTTCCCCAAGTGTAGTAAACGGAGGAATGGGGATGGGTATCCAAGGCCCATCCCATAGATAGAAGCTTTCAATTTAAATTAGAGACCCCAATCACTATTAGGCCTATGCTAGCTCTAAATTGTACCTAGAGAGCCCATCTTAGCATGACAAGCAAATCAAGTCACATCGCGGAACTATGTCAAGCCTAATACAAATTAGATGTATGTGTGTTGCTGCTTTCCATCTACCTTATAATAAAAACAAGAGCTAATATTTAGTGAATTATTTCTGTGGTGTCAGGCATGGTTCTAAGGAACACTTGTATTAACCCAATCCTCATAACAATCCAATGAGGTAGGAGATAGTCTTATCCCCATTTTTCAAGTAAAGAAACAGATTGAGAGAGGTTAAGTAACTTGACATAGGTCACACAGCTAAAAGTCCAGACAAAACAAGGAAAACCCAGTTATTTTGTTTTCTTCTGAAATGCAGGCAAAGAGATGAGATAATTTTGCTGTTTACTTTACAAAATCAAACAATTTGCATAATTTGTTGTGAGAATGGATGAAGTTTGTCTTTTACTTTCTTAGAGGAAGAGGCAAGTAATAGGTTTCTGGTTGATGTCTTTAATAAGTAAAGTTAGAAAAATGCAGTTTCATAATCTAGAATTGGTTAATGAGTTTATTTTGCATTTTCTTTACATGAGTTGAAGACTATTTAGATATTTGTTTTTTGTTATTTTTAAATAATATTGGGTTTGAACATAATGCATTTGTGTTTTTAACGGAACATACAAAAAATACATTTTTGCTTAAAGTTACTTATTAGAACAATTTGTCTCATCTTGGAAACTCAGAATAAGACTGGCTCCATCAAACATTCAAAAATCCACTTTAATTGGTACACCATCAGGGAAAACATAGTTTTTAATAGACTATTTTTTAAAAAGCTTCAGTAGTCAGTCTTTGCCACAAGGCGGCAGTGTTATCCAGTTTAGGAACCAAAAATCTAAGAAATATTGTAAGCTTGTTTATTTTAATTTGAAGTTTTCTTTTATTCCAGGTATTAACAGAAAATTTATAAAAGCCTAATTTTAGTTTTAACATACTATTTTATTAAAGATCTAGTTTAGGTAGTGAGGTTTGTAGGCCAAGACTTCCCAAATTCTTTTTCTAAAACTTCAAAATGTACATGCATTGTCTGCTCTACCAAAATGTTTTGAATTAATGTAACATATGAAGCCACCCCTCAGAGATCTATAATACATACAATCCCCTTTTTCTGTAGGTGCTAAGTAAAATCCAGACACTTTTAGTAGCAGAATGTATCCAAATCATGAGACAACGAAGTATGTTACCTGCAGCAAATTTGTAAGGGTCTGTAGCAACCTCAATTCTGGCTTCCCCAGAAGAAAGAATTAGACTGAGGGGCATAAGGTGGAAGAAGAGACCAAGGCAAGTTTTAGAGCAGGAGTGGAAGTTTATTAAAAAGTTTTAGAGGCCAGGTGTGGTGGCTCAGGCCTGTAATCCCAGCACTTTGGGAGGCTGAAGTGCGTGGATCAGTTGAGGTCAGGAGTTTGAGACCAGCTTGGCCAACATGGTGAAACCCTGTCTGTATTAAAAATACAAAAAATTAGCCAGGCTTGGTGGTGGGTGCCTGTAATCCCAGCTACTCAGGAGGCTGAGGCAAGAGAATCGCTTAAACCTGGGAGGTGGAGGTTGCAGTGAGCTGAGATCGTGCCACTGCACTCCAGCCTGGGTAACAGAATCAGACTCTGTCTCAAAAAAACAGCTTTAGAGCAGGAAGAAAAGGAAGTAAAGTACACTTGGAAGAGCGCCAAGCAGGTGACTTGCGGGATGAAGCGCACGGTTTGACCTTTGACTTAGGTCTATATATGTTGACTTACTTCCGGGGTCTTATGTTCCTTTTCCACCAATTCTTCCCTTGGGCGGGGCTGTCTACATGCACAGTGGCCTGCTACCGCTTGGGAGGGGCTGCATGTGCAGTGTGTTTACTGGAGTTGTATGCATGCTCACTTGAGGCATTCTTCCCTTACCAGACGAATAATCCTAGAGGGTCATATACCAGTTAGACTCAGACTCTGCCATTTTGCCTTTTAATGCGCATGCTTGAGTCCACTCACCCAACTCCTGAGATCTTATTGGGAAGATGCTGACCACCAGTTTCAGGTTTTTATATCTATAGGGAGACTGCCTTTCCTGGTGCCAGCTGTGACCAATTATTATGTTAGCAAAACAGTTAACAACTGCCTGACCATCACCTGATGGTCGCCTGACATTCCTGGTCAGGAGGGCTCTCCTGCCCTGCTCATGTCTGCCTGACTAACTACTGTAACATTTTCCCCATCAAGAGTTCAAGACCCTAATTCTTTGGGGAAAATGAATGAAAGTAAGTCTTCTGTAACTGCTTCCTTTTTCCTTCTGACAGCGCGGGGCTGGTGGTGGTGGTTCTGTGGGTCTTGGACTCTTGCTACCTGTCAGGGCAGGGTGGCTCCATGGGTTAGTGAAAGTGGTATCTAGCTAGGTCCAAGGGAGTCAGGGGCAGAATTATGCCTCTGTTGTGTCCCACTGATGGGTAGTCTAGGGTTTCTTTGTAAAAGGGTGACTCTTGAATATTGAGAGGATGATATCCCTCACTGAGGATCATTTGGAGCGTGATGGCGTGAAGGCAAGAGGAGACAAATCAGGTTATTTTTTAGAAGAATGTCAAACCAGAATAATAGGCTGCAGATAGCTCAAAAAAATCCTGAGGCTACCGACATGCTGCAGTAATGCCTGCTAAGAGTTAGGTGCATGGGGTTGCTAGCTGATTTCAATATGTGCCCAGAATTAGAGTGTTGATCCACATTTTTGCATTATCCAACCCTTTTGTTTCCTCTGAGCTGCAGGGAGAGATCACTAGTTGGTTCAGAGGAAAAAGCAGGGTTAGTCTACATTGCAGACAAAAACTCAGAAACAACTGATGAGTCTAGAGCCTAATAACACGTATACTATATTTTTTAAACATAATTTTTCTGTCTCCAGTCCTCATTTGTATTAAAAACAAATCATGATAAGACTGACTTGTTTTGCAAAATAAGCTTTAGTTTTATTATACTTGGCTTGATTATTTGCATAAAGCACAGCAAGAATAATTATTTGCCATATAAGCTCCTTTTAAAATTGGCTTTGATGGAACTTTGTTCCATAAGAAATCTCAGATAAGACTTTTTAAAACCTTAAGCCCAGCCATAGGTGGGTGCCATCAAATACCATATGAGTTGTGTAAATTCCTCTCCTCTTGAGATCCTAAGATAACTTGGGATCCCTGGGCCCGTCAGAAAGTGACATTCTTTACTTACCACAGGTTAGTAACCATGTACAGGGACTGTGTATACAGGGTATGAGGCCGGTTTTCACAAGAGACTTTTATTGGCTCTCTAAGTTACATTTGATTCCTTAAAAGAAAGTATGCTGTTCCAGTCAAAGATTTGGTAAAATTACTAGTGGCTCTAATTTTGTCCCATTACAAAAGAAAACAGATTTTTATTGCACTTATAAAAATAACTGTATTGTTATAAGTTAAGAATATTCACAAACAGTTTCCAAATTACTGAGAAACCAGGTAGAGAGGAACCAATATGCTCCAAATTTTATTTATAAGAGTATACTGTACTCAATTGTTAAAAGCTCTAAATAGCTCAAAAGAAATGTTTTCTTGACTCTGAAAAAAAGGATCAGCAACATTTTAAGCAAAAAGTCATTAAAGGATTATTTCAGTCCTCTATTTGTTCACTGCATGCAGTCCTGCTCTGCTTGATATTCATGAACGTTTTAGCTCTCCATGAGAGTTCTGAAAGCGTTTTCCTCTATTCTAATGTCACAATCTCCAAAGTTATCAGAAACCTGCTTTTGAGAGCAACCGTTAAAGTTCTATAGCTGATTATAAAACCACATTTTTAAGAGGATTAAAACAAGACAACAATTGTCTGTGGATAACAAAAAGTCTTAGGGCAGTGAGAGTCAAAGACAAAATTGAAAAGGAAATGTGTTACCTCTGTGGGACACAATAATTTAACACAACATATACTAAGTTATATCAGAATTACAGAAGGTTTGCATAACTTTGAAACGCATACCAATAACACATTTATAGAAATACAGTCTAAAGAAAGCCAGATTTTACCTTTGCGTTAGTGTACTATTGATGTCAAACCCAGTTCTTAATAAAATCTTATAGACAAATCTATACAATCTTAATCAGTTTGACCATAAGGTAGGATTCTTATAAAACTTTTATAACCCTTTACAATTTTCTGTCAAAGAGCAGAATTATCTCTTTTGTCTGATTCCCATATCTTATGATCTTTAAGGAGATGAGTAGCCTATTTTTTAAATAACTGCCACAAGGGGGCTGGACTTCCTTCCCTTTGAATATGAACTTGAAGGTCTTGATGCATACTGGGAAGGGGTTGGAAGTGATTAGAGAAATGGAGGCTACAGGAGGAAGTGGAAGGAAGTGAGAGGAATATTCATGGAAAGCCTTCAAATGCTTGAAAAAACAGCAGCCCTTGGATTCCAGAGGGTAAAGTTTATTTGCCCTCTTGACCTAATGGAGGGAAATTTGCAGTACTTGGGGCTTGAGGTAAGAACTTGCAAATGGCAAAGGAAGGATTTCTCCTCCTCCCAAAGGAGGGCTAACTCAAAAAAAGCAAATAGGTGAGTTCCTCAAAGGGCAACAGAGTGAGGCCCTATGCAGGCAGACAAACTGCTTCAAAAGCCACTGGAATACTTGGCCCTGTGGCATAACAGGAATGAAAAGTATATGGTAAGTCATAAACAGCTGGGACAGCTGGGGTTCCAATTAGTGTCTGTCCTGGCAATGTGCCAGAAGACAGGAGAAGGGTTGGAGGTCATCTGAGCTGGTAGGTTAAAAACAGGTATAAATCTCAGGGGATATCCACAGAGGAGCCCATGTTTTTGCTGCCAAGAAAACGTGGCAAGAGCTCTGGGTGCAAAAATAACAGGGAATGTGTGTTTAAGAAGTCACATGGCATGTGAAGTGTAACTAGAGAAAAGGCAGACTTGCCCCCAAGGTGTACATTCTGGCAGGTGCACAAGGCCATTTCAAAACACACACAGAGAGAACAGGAAAATAGGCAGCGTGGGTTCTTTGGAAAGAGCCGATTTTAGTTGAACAAGCTGAAGAAACCCCAGACATTGCACAGTTTTAGGCTTTCGCTCTGCCACTCTCATGAGCGTCCTGTCCAGGAGGGCCATTAATGTTTCAGTTCTAATCAGTGTGGACCCCAGGATCCTTCCCACCACCCCTGAAAGCCACACATCAGGGTGAGCTGAGATCAGCCAGGGGGAGCAGAGCCATTTGTGGCTGAGAGGAATCATTCTAGTGGTTGGTTAGTAGGCAGGAGAGTGAATAGGGAGAAGAAAACTGCATATGGGGGTTGAACACCTCTAGCCAAAGAATGAAAAGTATAGAGGTTACATGCCTCTATAAAGTGAAGTGGAGAGGTGTCTTACCACTGGGAAATGTATCCAAGTCACATGACACCAAAGTATGTTAGCAGCAGATTATATCCCAGTCGCATGGCATCAACGTATGCTACTGGTGGTGAATCCATGTGGGTCTGCAGAACAAAGAATTGAGAGGCATAAGGCAGAAGGAGAGACTGAGGCAAATTTTAGAGCAGCAATGAAAGTTTATTAAAAAGCTTTAGCACAGGAACAAAAGGAATTAATGTACACTTGGAAGAGGGCCAAGCAGGCAACTTGAGAGATCAAGTACAGGGTTTGACTTTTGACTTGGGGTTTTATATGTTGGCATACTTCTGAGGTCTTGTGACCCTTCTCCCATGACTCTTCCCTTAGGGTGGGCTCTCTGCATGTGCAGTGGCCTTTTAGCACTCGGGAGGGGCTGCATGTGCAGTGGAATCCTATGCATGCTCACTTGAGCCATTTCTTCCCTTACCAGCCAAATGTTACTAGAAGGTCATATACCAGTTAGACTCCACCATTTTGCCTTATAATGTGTATGCTTGAGCCCACTCACTCAACTTCTGAGAGACAGGAGAGACAGTATTTCAGAGAAACAGTTAACAACCAACTGACCATCACCTGATGGTCGCCTGACATTCCTGGAGGGCTGGGGGGTCTCTACTGCCCTGCTCATGTCTGTCTACCTACCTACTCCAATAATAGGTAGTCTCTAAAACAATAATTGGTCACAGCCAGCACCAGGGAAAGGCAGTCTCCCAATAGATAGAAAAACCCAAAACTGATGATCAGCAGCTTCCCAATAAGATCTCAGGAGTTGGGCATGTGGGCTCAAGCATGTGCACTAAGAGGCAAAATAGTAGTGTCTAACTGGCATATGACCTTCCAGGAACATTTGGTTGGTAAGGGAAGAATGCCTCAAGTGAGCATGCGTATAACTCTAGTAAACATACTGCATGTGCTCCCTTCCCAACCGCTAGTAGGCCACTGCACATGCGGGCAGCCCAGCCCATGGGAAGAATCAGGGGATAAGGGACACAAGGCCCCAGAAGTATGCCAACATATAAAACCCTAAGTCAAAGGTCAAACCGTGTGCTTTATCTTTCAAGTTGCCCACTTGGCCATCTTCCAGGTGTACTTTACTTTCTTTCATTCTCACGTTAAAGCTTTATAATAAACTTTCCCTCCTGTTCTAAAACTTGCCTCAGTCTCTCCTTCTGCCTTATTTCCCTCAGTCAAATTATTTCTTCTGAGGAGGCAAGAATTGAGGTTGTTGCAGACCCACATGTATTTGCCACTGGTAACAACTCCGGCTTGGTTTCATCTAAATAAATACTTGTGATTAAGAAAGGCATTTGTAGAATCTTCATCTAGAGCAAGCAGAGTTTAAATTTGTAAGAATCTTCTTACCTCAGAGCCAATATTGTTTTTTCTCTCCCTTTTAAGTTCATAGGCTTTTTTGGTACCCCTGTAAGATTCAAACAGGAAGGAAGAGAGAGAGAAAGGGAGAGAAAAGGAAAGGTTAGGGGAAGGAGACCTTAAAGCAAGGAGCCAGACTGGAACAGAGCTGACAAGTGGGATAGGTTCTGAAATAAGAACTTGAAGTGCTTTAGAGATATTCATCCATAAGCAACAATTACTTTTTAAAGTAATATTTACTGTATTATATTTTATTAAAGAATGCATGTTCATTGTAGAAAATATCTATGACAGGTAGACAGAAAATTACCTCTAGAGTTTGTTGTAATTGGAAAAAAGCACACTCAAGAATTTGAATTTTCTTCTTTTCCAGATATCATCAGCAAATTTTCAATTAAGGGAAAATCTCTCTCTTTGTTTTTGCTGTCTCTTTGCTTAGCTAAGGGTGGAGATCAGGGACAAAAGACTTTTTTTGTTTATAAAAGTTATCCAGCAGTAACCTTTTGTGAAACGCAAGATGGATCTGGGGGCTAGTCTGGGATAGGGGCTGATAATGAAACTGTTTTGCAAATAAAAAAAGAACTTAGCTTTTTTTTTTTTTTTTCCAGAGTGCAGTCTAGAGAAAGAGGCTGAGAAGAGGGGTTAAATGTAAGGTCAGAGCTCTTGGCATGAGGAGCAGAACCTGGCAAAACGGGTAGTAGGCTGAGGCCTAGGGCACAAAACAGCCAGTAAAAGGTTATCTTTAAGATGTCAATATTCAGTTTTAAATGTTTTCCTATTTGGTGCTATCTGGAAATATGTCTACCTTTTCCCCAATACTTTAGTTAAAGTTGCTTACCACACACCAGTCTTGTATTTGCGGTAGTGCATTTGGGGGCATGAAAGTGAAGGGATGAGGAGCCTGGACTGAGTCATGAACAGGTTTATAAGAAGAAGGTAACCCTGGAGAAGGAAGGCTGAGTAAAGAGAATAAATCTTGTTACCTGGGATGGAAACTCAAGACATTTTGTTATTACAAAAATAAGTGACTCCAGAAGATTGGAAGACATTTAGGTCACTTACAAAACACATAAAATAGAAATGAAAAATTGCTTAGAATCCTATCTGGAGATAACCACTAGTTACATTTCAGTGACTATCCTTCTACTCTTTTCTTTTTAAATACATAGAATGAATTTTTAAATAAAATTGAAGTCATAGTTGCTTTTTTTCACTGAAAAATATATTGTATTCTTGAAAATCACTGGGAGTAGATTTTAAGTGTTCTTATCACAAAAATGATAAGTATCTGAGGTAATACATATGTTAATTAGCTTGATTTAGCCATTTCACAATGGATACATACTTCAACACAGCATGTTGTACACGATAAATATATACAAGTTTTGTCAACTAAAGTTAATTAAATACATTTTTATAAGCAAACAAATATTGGCATATATATATCATTAGTCTTCCACAGATCCATAGCATTACATATAATATTTCAAAAAATTATTATCATTCAACAAATACTTATTAAACATTAAGTATGTGCCAAGCTGTTTGAGGCAATGCCAAACATTAATCAAGTGCCAGGTACTATGGCAAATGCTTTTTATACATAATCCCATTTATTCATCACAATGAGTTAGGCATAAGGACCCCAATTTCACAGATAAATAAACTGAGGCTTAGAGAAGCTACAGTCCCTGGGTTCAGCTCCTGTCACTGTTGTCCTCTTTCAGCACCTCTGCTCACATGTGATCCTCATCCCTTCACTTTCATGCCCCCAAATGCACTACCGCAAATACAAGACTGGTGTGTGGTAAGCAACTTTAACTAAAGTATTGCGGAAAAAGTAGACATCATGTGCCCACGATTATAAACCTTTAAAATGATTGAGCCAGGTTCCAGATTCAGAGCTAGTATGACTCCAGAGCCCACTGCTCTCCATCAGATGCTGTCACTTCACCGCTTAAGTATATGTTTTCATTTATTTAACCAATCTCATATTTGATGTGCATTTTAATTGTTTCCCATTTTGTGGCATTAAACAATGTTCCAGGAAACATATTTGTATAATACATTTTAAAATAAATATCGCTTTAAATATTTCTTGGAAACTCTGGAGGCTTTTTGTAAAAATATCAGTTGACAATGCCTAGAAAAAGGCCCTATTTAAGATGCTTAAATACCTTGCATTTGATATGTAAGTCAGGGAATGCCAAGTTAGAGCCTACTTTTTATGTTAAAAAAATCTGGTTTTACTTTAGCTCCTCAAATACTTTAAGGAGAATCAGAGGAAATTGGTGGAGAAAAACTATCCTTAAGAGGGATTTTGGATACCATTAGTAACAATTAATGATACTTAAAATATCTAGGTATTTTTATTTTAATAACCAAGAATAAAATGAAGTTTAGTGTCTTCTTAAATTAAGCGAATAAAAGGCTAAAATAAAAAAATGTTCAAGTACTAGAATAGGATAATTCAGCATATATTTATGAAGTAACTTGTTCTCACTTTGAGTCTTAATTATGAAGAACTTTAATTTAAATCCCGCTTTTTCTCCTTCAAATAGTCCTCCTTTTAAACTGCCTAGTAACCCAACAAAATATTACTGTAATCTTGTTGTTTTAGTCTCTTCAAATATCCCTGTTCCTGTGCTAGTACTTTGAGAAAGCTTGTCTCTCCACAGTATGGTTGAGGTGAAATGGGGCAGATACTACAGCTGTGACCCCAGAGAAATTTTTATATTCCCTTTATTTGTACTCACAAATCTTACTAACCTTTGACTATTTACTTACTGTCTTTCTGGAATGTCCCCGGTTTAGAAGGAAATCCCAGCTCCAAAAGAGGAAAAATACCAGTCTTTCTGTACTTCCAATGAAGAAGTGATATTTGTGGAAAAATTGAGAGGTAAATTTAAAAACTGTTCAGAGGAACGTAATTTTGGGATGAAAGGGACCAAAAAGAGCTAACAAGTTTGATGAAATTGAGAAATTGGTTTACTTTGGGATTATTGGGAAACATCCAACATAGCAGGAAACAAAGTTAGAGGAACTGCATTTCCAGAAATTGAGTTTATGTTAATGGTGGTTGATGAGAGAATCCTGCTTCATTTAAACTTTGGAACTTGAAAAATCATAGCCATAAACTATCTTATGTAATATCTTGAAACATTATCAAAAAGGTTTTTACAAGAAATATTGTGCTTAGTTAATAAGTACTCATTAGATGCTAGTGATTTAGCAACGTATACTTGAAGACATTTCTTTTCATCTATGAGCCTTTCTATTACAAAAAATATTTAGAGTTGTCTGTCATAGCAAGGCGTGAAAGACAAATGGGGTCCTGCTTAAATTGACCTGAGACCTTTTGAATCATCACCTATGGTGATGATACTCCCAACATTGTAATGGCCTTCAGTTGGCTGGAGTATATAAAATCTTGGAGGATAATCTCAGAATACAAGATGCCGTCAAATATGGAAAGAGGTAGTAGAAGAACAATGAACTGGGCAAAAGCAAAATAAAAAGCAAAACATAACAAACATAAAAAATTGTAAAGAATTAGCTCTGTGCTTCTTAGTAACTTTGAGACCTTAAGAACCTTAACCTCCATGAGCTCAGATGTTTTATCTGTAAAATGGAAATGATAACACTTGCCCAACCTACCTCATAGATTTTTTGTGGGGATCCATTCAGATGAAAAAATGTATAAGAAAGTGCAAATGTAAGGGATTGTTATATGATTTATTTTATTTTTATTTTTTGTGGGTACACAGTAGATGAATTATTATATTTAGAGAGAGAATAATATGTATATATAAATATATGTATGTATATAAATATATAAATATATACTATATAAAAATATATGTATGTATATAAATATATAAATATATACTATATATAAATATATATATTTCTTGTTATTAGCTATTTCTTGTTAGTATATAGTATATATATAAATATATATGCTATATTTATATAGTATATCTATTTCTTGTTAGTATATAGTATATATACTAACAAGAAATAGCTAATGGACCAAGAATATGACAGAAAATGATTGAATGGTCCTTCTTAATCTTCTTGACCTCCTTCTCCTCCACACCTCCCTTAAGTCTTATTGATCCCTATGGTACCAGTGTTGGTTACCATCTTGAACTATCCTCTTCATGGGGGGTGTCTTGTCGACCACTCTCCTGCCCCCTACCCACCTTAAATTCTATGTGGGGGTGGGGAATGGGGAGTTGTTTAAAGGGTAAAAAGTTTTGGTTAGACAGGAGGAATAAGTTCTGGTGATCTAATGTACAGCATACTAACTATAAATAATAATAATGTATAATATACTTGAAAATTGCTAAGAGAGTAGATTTTAAATGTCCTCACCACAAAAAATAAGAAGGATATAAGATGCTGGATATGTTAATTAGCATGATTTAATCATTCCAATGTATACATATATCAGAACATCGTGTTGTACACCATAGATACATACAAATTGTCATTTGTCAGTTTAAAAATAACTAAATAGGTAAAAAAAAAAAAACCCTCAACTCTTTAGACATATTGAACTTCTTTCACTTTCTTAGTGCAGGCATTCTCTCTCGCTCTCATATTCAGGCAAGTCTTTCTTCTTGTTATGCTCTTATTTACCTCCCAACCCCCAACTTTCAACTGTCTAGTTAATTCTTACTCATTGTTCATCTCAATTTAGATGTAACTTTTTGCAGACGTCTTCCCTGACATCCTTTAAACAAAGCTGCCCACCATACACTTTCCTTTGCACCCTTGTTCTTCTATAAACTGCCAAAAGAAAACATCCAAATTAGAACCACCTATGGAGCTTATTAAAATGTAGATTCCTGGGATCCACCCTCCAGGTATTCTGATTCAATGGATTTGGTGTAGGGCCAGTCTGCAAATTTAACATGCATCCCAACACTCTGAAGTTTAAGAATCACATTCTGTCATACTACTTATCACCATGAGTTAAAATTGTATACTTCTGTCTTCCCTCTAACCTATAATGAGAGCTGGGACCCTGCCTGTGTTGCTTACCACTGTATTCCCAGAGCCTGGCATATTGTAAGCACTCGATTCATATTGGAACAAATAAATAAGTGTACAAAAAAAAAGAAAAGAAGAAGAAATAAACTTTTCTTTTTCCTTACAACTTTTATTTTAGGTTTGTGGGAGTACCTGTGCAGGTTTGTTACATGGGTAAGCTGTATGTTCAGGAGTTGGGTGTACAAACTATTTTGTCACCCAGGTGATAAGCATAGTACTTGATAGGTAGTTTTTTAATCCTCACCCACTCCCCACACTTTGCCCTCAAGTAGGCCCCAGTGTCTATTGTTTTCTTGTTTGTGCTTGTTTGTATTCAATGTTTAGCCCCCACTGATAAGTGAGAACATGAGGTATTTGGTTTTCTGTTCCTGCATTAATTTGCTTAGGATAATGGCCTCCAGCTACATCCATGTTGCTGTAGAGGGCATGATTCCATTGTTTTTTATGACTGCACAGAATTCTGTGATGCGTATATATCACATTTTCTTTATCCAGTCCACCATTGATGGGCATTTAGGTTGATTCCATGCCTTTGCTATTGTGAATAGTGCTACAATGAACATATGTGTGCACATGTCTTTATAGTAGAATAATTTATATTATTATTTTTTGGGTATATACCCAATAATGGGATTGCTGGATCAAATAGAAATTCTGTTTTAAAATCTTTGAGAAATCTCAAAACTGCTTTCTACAGTGGCTAAGCTAACTTACATTCCCACCAGGAATGTGTGTTTCCTTTCCCCCACAACCTCACCAGTGTCTGTTATTTTTTGATTTTTTAATTATAGCCATTCTGACTGGTGTGAGATGGTATCTCATTTTGGTTTTGATTTGTATTTTTCTAATGATCAGTGATATCAAGCATGTTTTCATATGCTTGTTGCCCATATGTATGTCTTCTTTTGAAAAGTGTCTGTTCATGTCCTTTGCCCACTTTTTAACGGGGGTGTTGTTTGTTTTTTAGTTGTTAATTTGTTTAAGTTCCTTATGGATTCTGGATGTTAGACCTTTGCTGGATGCATAGTTTGCAAATATTTTCTCCCATTCTGTAGGTTGTCTGTTTACTCTGTTGATAATTTCTTTTGCTGTGCAGAAACTCTTTAAGAAACAGTCTTCTAAAGTTGGAAGGACCACATGAACTCTGCATGACCCTTTGAACCCTGAATATCAATGATTACAAAGAAACATCCTCTAAGAACACAAACACTAAACGAAAACATTTACCTACTCCTGGTTTCCCTGTCATAGTAATTGCCAACTATGATTTCATATCAGTCTTTTAATAAAAACAGCTGATGATTTTTCAGAAACAATAAAAGCATGGACACAACACAGCAAACTGTTAACTCTGGTTACCACTGAAGAGTAGGATGGTGGGAGGGTAAATGATTTGGGGTTTTACTTTATATACTTCTGTATTTTTTAAGTTGGAAGTATATATTACATTAAATTTTTTTAATTATGAAAAATAAAATAATTGTTTTAAAAAGTCAAGGACTGTGTTATTGACTCCATGATTTATAAATATGCTAGCCTACAAAATACATTTGGATAGTTGTTTACAATCCAACTTTGTGATAATTAGATATTAGAAATTGATGTGGAGCTATTTAGCTTTGAATATTTGCTTCATTCCTTTGTTTTGTCACTTTTTAATATTACCCCCAGGCATATCTTTTACATTATAGATTCAATGGAGAAGTTACATTAAGCAGATATTGAAACTATGGAGTAGAGTGAAGAGCATTAGCTTTGAAGTCAAACAGTCCTCAGTTTGAATTCTGGCATTGCTGTTTAATAATTCTGTGACATTAGAAATGTTACTTAATCTTTCTGAATTTCAGTTTCCTCATCTTTAAAATGATGGTAATAATACCTTCCTCACAGAACTATTGTGAAGAATAAATGTGAGTTTACATATAAAGTGTTTAGCATGGAGCTAGGTGATCAATAAATGCTAGCTTTCCTCTCCATTTTGTTCATTAAACAAATATGTACTTAGCACCCATATGTTGTGAAGCAGGTTCACTAATAAGTAACCCTAAGAGAAGACTCCCACTGTGTGGAGGGTAGCAAAGATCATCACTATGCCAACCATAAGGAATAGGGGTCCAAATCTTTCTGCCCACTGCATTTTGGGCTGCAGCTTTATTTATTGCCTGAGTTCAATGAGAGAACACACATAAAACAAGTTATATGAAGCAGATTTATTACTTATAGATAGTAAGCAAGGGACAAGAGAAGTCTTTGGATCCATTGTGAGCTGGTGCCCCAAGGCTCAATAAATCTACCCAGGGTGGATGGAGTCTTGACTGCACGTGCCCCATTTGTACCACAGCTGAGGGACCCCTAAAGGATGTCTACTCTGGGTTTTATACCTCAGGAGTAATATGAATCATTGAGAAAGGTTTTTAAGGACACTGCTTCCAGAGGTGAAAGGAACCAAAGCCAGACTGTCCCGGGCAGTTTCTCTCTCACTCAAGGAGAGACAGGAATAAGACCCAGGCTGTTTCAGGCAGTTCTTCCTTATCTTAGGATATTGCATACCCAGGGTACTTTATAGTTATTTTGAGAACTATAGGCAAGAAAAAGAATAGACTGGGTTGGCCAAGGCTACCCAGGGACCATTCAGCTCATGCCAGACATCATTTTATGCATTGGAGATACATGGTACACAGACATTAAATTATATATACCTATCTATTTAGTGAAAAAGTACAATAAGTACCATGAAGAGGAACCACAGGATGGTATGAGAGAGTATAACAAAGATATCTAATTGATTTTTGTTTTAGTTTTAACGTGGAAATGTGGGTACCTTCCTTGGGAAGTGACAATTACACTGAGTAGTACTGGGCCAGGCAAAATGTGCAATCAAAAGCAAAAAGAACACTGTATTGCTTTAATCTTAAGTATGTCCTTTTTTTTCTTCCACTTGAAGGTAAAAACACATAGGAAAGTGTGTGTGTGTGTGTGTGTGTGTGTGTAAGAGACAGAGAAGAATGATAGAATTGTCCATTGCCTTATGTAAATGGTGTAAATGGTAGATACAACTTATAAACTCTGAACACATGAGAACATATCTCAAGTCAATCTATGATGAGCCCATAGGAATTTGCTTAAACAAACATCTACAGCACCATACTATTCACTGTATAGATATCAGATGAAAAAAATTTTTAAATATATATATATATAGCCAATCCATTATTGAATCATTCAATTAAAATCCTTACCAAATATGTGATCCATTGCAAGCAGTGTCTTAAATTTCCACATTTAATTCTTTATGAATTATGATCTGTCTTCTAAGAGTACTTAGTCAATCTCAGGGTAAAGAATTCCCTGGCCAGTGATGGATGCCAGGGGATTCAAGTTATGCTTTACTCATTGTAATCCTATGTTACCCTTGATCCAGAAGATCTCTTTAGGGCCAAAAAGGATTTCAGGTCTTTTTCATTACAGGCCCAGCAAACCCTAAATGATCTTGAAGATCCCAGAATTGACCTACCCTCACAAGAGTTAATCTGAGGATAAATGCAAACCACAATACATTTCAGGCTCTTCCTCCCCTTCTGTATCTCCAATCTGCTTCCAAAGGAGCCCATCTTTCCTTTGAGCTTTTTATCTTTTACATCTTCCCTATCATCCATCACCCCAGCTTAGATTACTGCAACAGCTTCTCATTTGGTCTCCCTAGCTTCAGCCTTTCCTACTTTGTCAGTCCTTCCTGTGGATCTAGATTATTAATCATTTTATGTATGTTTTACTCACATGTAAAGCATTGGGTACTTGGAATTTTTCTAAACATTACAAACATATTAATTCATTTAATCCTACCAATAATCCTATAATATTGGTGAGGAACCTGAGGCACAGGAGAGGTTAAAGTAAGTTGCCTAAGACCACATAGTAAGTAGTAAAAATCAAATTGAAATTAGACAATCTAGCACCAGAGTTTGTGCATTTTACCACTACTGCCGCTTTCGGTATAATGAGACAATCTCTAGCTACTCTAGCCCTACTGATCTTCTTTTATGTGGATTATAAACTGCACCACTTTAGTATTTTTTGTATAATTTTTTATGCCTATTGATTTGGACAGTCCAACCAGGGTGTAAAATTCTCAAGGAGCAGCAACCACATCTTATCAAAATTTTGTAGCCCTCAGAACCCCTAGCACAAATTAGGTACCTAGTAAATTGCCCAGGACTTGAACCAGCCTCCAGGGGTTGGAGTACCAAACGATGGCCTTTATTCCTTTCATCACAAGTTTTACCCCCCCCACCACACCCCTCCCACCCCATTTTGGGTAAGCTGATATATACCATTATAGGAAATGTATTCACTGTAGTTAGAATGACTCATGTATCAAAATTCAAAGTTACTTTGAAACACTGGTAAACTGACTCAGGGAATATTTTAATTTATCAACTCAACTTCCTTGAAGTCGGCCATCATATAATTTTAATGTATTATTTTGCAAAAAGGAAAGAATAAAATTAAACAGTTAAATTCTTGTCACTAACTTGCTGATTCAGAGTCCTATGCAATATACTGTGATCTAGTGTACAATTTATAGTCAAAAGACTTGAATACTATTCCCTACTCAATATTTTACTAGTTATATGTTTTTAAGAGGTTACTTAATCTCTCTGAGCCTGATCCTCTACCGCCTCACTTCACCCCACTCCTGTTTTCTCATCTATAAGGCAGGGATAATATTTGCCTTACCTCAAAGATAACTTTGAGGATCAAAGAAGACAATGTTTCTGAAAGTCCTTTTTAAACTCTAAAGCACTATATAAATGTAGGTTGTATTATTATTCATAGTATCAGATCCAAGAACCAAGGAATGTTAGTTTAGATTTAGTTTTGTCTCTATTCCATGCCATGTGATCTGGATGAAGGCATTAACTTCCCTGTACCTCATTCTTTCCATTTGTAAAACGAAACAGCTTACAATTTTAATCCTTTGTGATCTAATTCTCTTAACTTGCTCCATATCCTGTTGGCAAATAACACAAAATCTGTTTTGTTACTGGACTTTTTCAATCCAAATGACTACCAATGCATGAAGTGAATTATTATTATTTTTATTATACTTTAAGTTCTAGGTTACATATGCACAACATGCAGGTGTGTTACTTATGTATACATGTGCCATGTTGGTGTGCTGCACCCATTAACTCATCATTTACATTAGGTATTTCTCCTAATGCTATCCCTCCCCAGTTCCCCCACCCCACGACAGGCCCCAGTGTGTGATGTTCCCTGCCCTATGTCCAAGTGTTCTCATTGTTCAATTCCCACCTATGAGTGAGAACATGCAGTGTTCGGTTTTCTGTCCTTGTGATAATCTGCTCAGAATTATGGTTTCCAGTTTCATCCATGGCGCTACAAAGGACAAGAACTTATCCTTTTTTTATGGCTGCATAGTATTCCATGGTGTATATGTGCCACGTTTTCTTAATCCAGTCTATCATTGATGGACATTAGGGTTGGTTCCAAGTCTTTGCTATTGTGAATAGTGCCACAATAAACATATGTGTGCATGTGTCTTTATAGTAGCATGATTTATAATCCTTTGGGTATATACCCAGTAATGGGATAGCTGGGTCAAATGGTATTTCTAGTTCTAGATCCTTGAGGAATCGCCACACTGTCTCCCACAATGGTTGAACTAATTTACACTCCCACCAACAGTGTAAAAGCCTTCCTATTTCTCCACATCCTCTCCAGCACCTGTTGTTTCCTGACTTTTTAATGATCACCATTCTAACTGGCGTGAGATGGTATCTCATTGTGGTTTTGATTTGCATTTCTCTGATGACCAGTGATGATGAGCATTTTTTCATGTGTCTGTTGGCTGCATAAGTGTCTTCTTTTGAAAAGTGTCTGTTCATATCCTTTACCCACTTTTTGATATGGTTGTTTGATTTTTTCTTGTAAATTTGTTTAAGTTCTTTGTAGATTCTGGATATTAGCCCTTTGTCAGATGAGTAGATTGCAAAAATTTTCTCCCATTCTTTAGATTGCCTGTTCACTCTGATGGTAGTTTCTTTTGCTGTGCAGAAGCTCTTTAGTTTCATTAGATCCCATTTGTCTATTTCGGCTTTTGTTGCCATTGCTTTTGGGGTTTTAGTCATGAAGTCCTTGCCCATGCCTATGCCTGAATGGTATTGCCTAGGTTTTCTTCTAGGGTTTTTATGGTTTTAGGTCTAACATTTAAGTCCTTAATCCATCTCGAATTAATTTTTGTATAAGGTGTAAGGAAGGGATCCAGTTTCAGCTTTCTACATATGACTAGCCAGTTTTCCCAGCACCATTTATTAAAAAGGGAATCCTTTCCCCATTTCTTATTTTTGTCAGGTTGGTCAAAGATCAGATAGTTGTAGATGTGTGGTGTTATTTCTGAGGGCTCTGTTCTGTTCCATTGGTCTATCTCTCTATTTTGGTACCAGTGCCATGCTGTTTTGGTTACTGTAGCCTTGTAGTATAGCTTGAAGTCAGGTAGCGTGATGCCTCCAGCTTTGCTCTTTTGGCTTAGGATTCTCTTGGCAATGCAGGCTCTTTTTTGGTTCTACATGAACTTTAAAGTAGTTTTTTCCAATTCTGTGAAGAAAGTTATTGGTAGCTTGATGGGGATGGCATTGAATCTATAAATTACCTTGGGCAGAATGGCCATTTTCATGATATTGACTGTTCCTATCCATGAGCATGGAATGTTCTTCCATTTGTTTGTGTCCTCTTTTATTTTGTTGAGTAGTGGTTTGTAGTTCTCTTGAAGAGGTCCTTCACATCCCTTGTAAGTTGGATTCCTAGGTATTTTATTCTCTTTGTAGCAATTGTGAATGGGAGTTCACTCATGATTTGGCTCTCTGTTTGTCTGTTATTGGTGTATAAGAATGCTTGTGATTTTTACACAGTGATTTTGTATCCTGAGACTTTGCTGAAATTGCTTCTCAGCTTAAGGAGATTTTGGGCTGAGACGATGGGGTTTTTTAAATATACAATCATGTCTTCTGCAAACAGGGACAATTTGACTTCCTCTTTTCCTAATTGAATATCCTTTATTTCTTTCTCTTGCCTGATTGCCCTGGCCAGAACTTCCAACACTGTGTTGAATAGGAGTCGTGAGAGAGGGCATCCCTCTCTTGTGCCAGTTTTCAAAGGGAATGCTTCCAGTTTTTGCCCATTCAGTATGATATTAGCTGTGCGTTTGGCATAAATAGCTCTTATTATTTTGAGATGCGTTCCATCAGTACCTAGTTTATTGAGAGTTTTTAGCATGAAGGTCTGTTGAATTTTGTCAAAGGCCTTTTCTGCATCTATTGAGATAATCATGTGGTTTTTGTCTTTGGTTCTGTTTATGTGATGGATTATGTTTATTTATTTGTGTATGTTGAACAGGCGTGCATCCTAGGGTTGAAGCCAACTTGTTCATGGTGGATAAGCTTTTTGATGTGCTGCTGAATTCGTTTTGCCAGCATTTTATTGAGAATTTTCACATCGATGTTCATCAGGGATATTCATCTAAAATTCTCTTTTTTTGTTGTATCTCTGCCAGGCTTTGGAATCAGGATAATGCTGGCCTCATAAAATGAGTTAAGGAGGATTCCCTCTTTTTCTATTGATTGGAATAGTTTCAGAAGGAATGGTGCCAGCTCCTCTTTGTACATCTGGTAGAATTCGGCTGTGAATCCATCTGGTCCTGGACTTTTTTTGGTTAATAGGCTATTAATTATCACCTCAATTTCAGAGCCTGTTATTGGTCTATTCAGAGATTCACCTTCTTCCTGGTTTAGTCTTGGGAGAGTGTATGTGTCCAGGAATTTATCCATTTCTTCTAGATTTTCGAGTGTATTTGCATAGAGGTGTTTATAGTATTCTCTGATGGTAGTTTGTATTTCTGTGGGATCGGTGGTGATATCTCCTTTATCATTTTTTATTGCATCTATTTGATTCTTCTCCCTTTTATTCTTTATTAGTCTTGCTAGCAGTCTATCAATTTTGTTGATGTTTTCAAAAAACCAGCTCCTAGATTCATTGATTTTTTGAAGGTTTTTTTGTGTCTCTATCTCCTTCTGTTCTGCTCTGATCTTAGTTATTTCTTGCCTTCTGCTAGCTTTTGAATTTGTTTGCTCTTGCGTCTCTAGTTCTTTTAATTGTAATGTTAGGGTGTCAATTTTAGATCTTTCCTGCCTTCTCTTGTGGGCATTTAGTACTGTAAATTTCCCTCTACACACTGCTTTAAATGTGTCCCAGAGATTCTGCTACATTATGTCTTTGTTCTCATTGGTTTCATAGAACATCTTTATTTCTGCCTTCATTTTGTTATTTACCCAGTAGTCATTTAGGAGCAGGTTGTTCAGTTTCCATGTAGTTGTGCGGTTTTGATTGAGTTTCTTAATCCTGAGTTCTAATTTGATTGCACTGTGGTCTGAGAGACAGTTTGTTGTGATTCCTTTTCTTTTACATTTGCTGAGGAGTGCTTTACTTCCAACTATGTGGTCAATTTTGGAATAAGTGTGATGTGGTGCTGAGAAGAATGTATATTTTGTTGATTTGGGATAGAGAGTTCTGTAGATGTCTATTCGGTCTGCTTGGTGCAGAGCTGAGTTCAATTCCTGGATATCCTTGTTAACTTTTTGTCTAGTTGATCTGTCTAATGTTGACAGTGGGGTGTTAAAGTCTTCTACTATTATTGTATGGGGGTCTAAGTCTCTTCGTAAGTCTCTAAGAACTTGCTTTATGAATCTGGGTGCTCCTGTATTGGGTACATATATATTTAGGATAGTTAGCTCTTCTTGTTGAATTGATCCCTTTACCATTATGTAATGGCCTTCTTTGTCTCTTTTGGTCTTTGCTGGTTTAAAGTCTCTTTTATCAGAGACTAGGATTGCAACCTCTGCTTTTTTTTTTCTTTCCATTTGCTTGGTAGATCTTCCTCCATCCTTTTATTTTGAGCCTATGTGTGTCTCTGCACGTGAGATGGGTCTCCTGAATACAGCACACTGAAGGGTATTGACTCTTTATCCAATTTGCCAGTCTGTGTCTTTTAATTGGAGCATTTAGCCCATTTACATTTAAGGTTAATATTGTTATGTGTGAATTTGATCCTGTCATTATGATGTCAGCTGGTTATTTTGCCCATTAGTTGATGCAGTTTTTTCCTAGCATCAATGGTCTTTACAATTTGGCATGTTTTTGCAGTGGCTGGTACCAGTTGTTCCTTTCCATGTTTAGTGCTTCCTTCAGGAGCTCTTGTAAGGCAGGCCTGATGGTGACAAAATCTCTCAGCATTTGCTTGTCTGTAAAGTATTTTATTTCTTCTTCACTTATGAAGCTTAGTTTGGCTGGATATGAAATTCTGGGTTGAAAATTCTTTTCTTTAAGAATACTGAATACTGGCCCCCAGTCTCTTCTGGCTTGTAAGGTTTCTACCGAGAGATCTGCTGTTAGTCTGATAGGCTTCCCTTTGTGGGTAACCTGACTTTTCTCTCTGGCTGCCCTTGACATTTTTTCCTTCATTTCAACCTTGGTGTATCTGACAATTATGTGTTTTGGAGTTGCTCTTCTTGAGGTGTATCTTTGTGGCATTCTTTGTGTTTCCTGAATTTGAATGTTGGCCTGCCTTGCTAGGTTGGGGAAGTTCTCCTGGATAATATCCTGAAGAGTGTTTTCCAGCTTAGTTCCATTCTCCTCGTCACTTTCAGGTACACCAATCAAATGTAGATTTGGTCTTTTCAATAGTCCCATATTTTTTGGAGGCTTTGTTCATTTCTTTTTACTCTTTTTTTTTCTAAACTTCTCTTATCGCTTCATTTCATTAATTTGATCTTCAATCACCGGTACCCTTTCTTCCTCTTGATTGAATTGGCTATTGAAGCTTGTGCATGTGTCACATATTTCTCATGCTGTGATTTTCAGCTCCATCAGGTCATTTAAGGTCTTTTCTACACTGTTTATTCTAGTTAGCCATTCATCTAATCTTTTTTCAAGGTTTTTAGCTTGCTTGCAATGGTTTCAAACGTCCTCCTTTAGCTCAGAGAAGTTTGTTATTACTGACCTTCTGAAGCCTACTTCTGTCAACTTGTCAAAGTCATTCTCCATCCAGCTTTGTTCTGTTGCTGGCATGGAGCTGCTATCCTTTGGAGGAGAAGGGGCACTCTCGTTTTTAGAGTTTTCAGCTTTTCTGCTCTGGTTTCTCCTCATCTTTGTGGTTTTATCTATGTTTGCGCTTTGATGATGGTGACCTACAGATGGAGTTTTGGTGTGGATGTCCTTTTTGTTGATGTTGATGCTATTCCTTTCTGTTTGTTAGTTTTCCTTCTAACAGTCGGGTCCCTCAGCTGCAGGTCTGTTGGAGTTTGCTGGAGGTCCACTCCAGACCCTGTTTGCCTGGGTGTCACCAGCAGAGGCTGCAGAACAGCAAATATTGCTGCCTGATCCTTCCTCTGGAAGCTTCATCTCAGAGGGGCACCCAGCTGTATGAGGTGTCAGTTGGCCCCTACAGGGAGTTGTCTCCAAGTTAGGCTACATGAGGGTCAGGGACCCACTTGAGGAGGCAGTCTGTCCATTCTCAGAGCTCAAACACCATGCTGGGAGAACCACTACGCTCTTCAGAGCTGTCAGACAGGACATTTAAGTTGGCAGAAGTTTCTGCTGCCTTTTGTTCAGCTATGCCGTGCCTCCAGAGGTGGGGTCTACAGAGGCAGGTGGGCCTCGTTGAGCTGCGGTGGGCTCCACCCAGTTCGAGCTTCCTGTCCGCTTTGTATACCTACTCAAGCCTCAGCAATGGTGGACACCCCTCCCCCAGCCAGGCTTGCCACCTCACAGTTCGATCTTGGACTAGCAGTGAGCAAGGCTCCATGGGTGTGGGACCCGCTGAGCCATGCGCAGGATATAATCTCCTGGTGTGCCATTTGCTAAGACCATTGGAAAAGCGCAGTGTTTAGGTGGCAGTGTCCTGATTTTCCCAGTACAGTCTGTCACAGCTTCCCTTGGCTAGGAAAGGGAAATCCCCTGACCCCTCATGCCTCCCGGCTGAGGCAATGCCCCACCCTGCTTCATCTTGCCTTCTGTGGGCTGCACCCACTGTCCGACCAGTCCCAATGAGATGAACCAGGTACCTCATTTGGAAATGCAGAAATCACCCGTCTTCTGTGTCAATCATGCTGGGAACTGCAGACCAGAGCTGTTCCTATTTGGCCATCTTGGACCAATCCTCTGAAGTGAATTATTTTATATTATTGCCTTATATTGCCACTTAGAATTTACATAAATCTTTTGCTTGATTAAATTATTTTAATGTCTCCTGTTTTATATAATTATCAATTATGATATAGAAAATGCTATATTCACATTGTTTTACATAGAAAATATTAAATTTCTTTCTTTTCATTGTTCAAAAAGAAACTGAAAGAAATACACATTTTAGAGTGCTCTTGAAGAAAATAAGTGAATTTTGCACCAGGAAGAAGAACATTTCTTCCCTGCTCAGAATTAAAGCTTCAAAAGCATATGTGAACTCCTAATTAATGAGTGTTTCAATAATAACATAAAGCATCTACAAATATATATGTATGTGTGTATGTATATATATGTGTGTGTGTGTGTATAGTGTGTGTGTGTGTATAGTGTGTGTGTTTGTGTGTGTGTATACTATTAAGTTTATTGTTAATGGAAAGCTTCAAGATGGAAGTATTTAAAAAGAGACATTAAACCTAAAATGAGAAATGTCTGACTCATGAGAAAGGGAAGGTATGAAAGGAGGAGAATGTACAACCTTGCAGATTAAATTGAAGGTAGAGGTGAAGCTCTCATTTACTTAACCATTCATTCAAAAAATTTGATTACCTTCTATGTGCCAGGTAGGTATAATGCTAGGCACTAGGGAGACAAGAAAATGAATAGACAAATCTCTGTTTTCAAGAGTCTCAGTATTGTTGGAGAGGCAGTCCTATATATAGATATAAGTCAATGTAAGTGCTGTGCTAGAGATATGCAGAGGGTGCCAAAGGAGCAACAGAAAGAATATCTATCTCAAAGTAAAGATCAAGTAAAGCTTCCTGGAAGAAGCTTCCTGAGCTGAGTTTTAGTTGGGAAATAGAAGTTATTCATGTTAAATGAGAATGGTATGTATTCCAGGTAGTAAAAGAAGCTTTTATGAAAGTCTGAAGATAACAAAATGCGAGGAGGATGCCAGGGGTCTGTAAGGTTTTCAATGCTTAGAGTATGAGGAAGGAGTAGCAACAGATAAAGCTGAAGAGGTAGGTGGTAGCTAGATCTTGAAAGGACTTGGTATGCCATGCTAAAATGTTTGGATTTATCCTGAAGGCAACTGAGAATCATCAAAATAATTTAAAAGTAACAGTGACATGATAAGTTTTATCTTTTAGAGAGATAACCCATGGAATACTATGCAGCCACAAAAAAGAACAAGATCATGTCCTTTGCAGGGACATGGATGGAGCTGGGAGCTGTTATCCTCAGCAAACTAATGCAGGAAGAGAAAACCAAATGCTGCATGTTCTCACTTACAAGTGGGAGCTGAACAATGAGAGCACATGGACACATGGCAGGAAACAACACACACTGGGGCCTGTCGGTGGGGGACGGGGGTAGGGAGAGCACCAGGAAGAATAGCTAATGAATGCTGGGCTTAATTCCTGGCTGATGGGTTGATCTGTGAAGCAAACAACCATGGCACATGTTTACCTATGTAACAAACCTGCACATCCTGCACATGTACCCCGGAACTTAAAAGTTGAAGAAAAAAAAACTTCAAATATTTTCTAAGTGATAGTCTTGTGCTGCAGAAGTGAAATGTGAAATAATGGGTGTGTTATACTGCCTTACAATTTTGTTGGGAAAATTACAACAAAAATCAATACTTGATTCACTCTCCTTGGTTCTGAGAAGTACTGCATTTAATTATAAATTATATTTTGTTACTTATAAAATAAAATGCATTTGCTTTCATTAAAAAAAAAAGAGTGAGATAAATCTTGTGTGTGTGTGTGTGAGACAGGGCCTCACTCTGTCACCCAGGCTGGAGTGCAGTGGCATGATCTCGGCTCACTACTGCCTCGACCTCCCAGACTCAAGCGATCCTCCCCCCTCAACCCCCGCACCTGAAGTAGCTGAGACTATAGGCACTCACCACCGTGCTCGAGTAATTTTTTTGTACTTTTCATAGAGATGGGGTTTCACCATGTTGCTCAGGCTGGTCTCAAACTCCTGAGCTCAAGCGTTCCATCTGCCTTGGCCTAGCAAAATGCTAGGATTATAGGCATGAGCTACTGTGCCCAGCCTAGAGAGATAAATCTAATGAAAAAAGGAAAGAGCCAAAACCGGTTAGGAGTTGTTGTTTTAATCTAGGTAAATTATAGCAATAATAATAATGAGTTCCTGAAATAAAGCAGTAGAGGTAGGGAAGAAAAAGGACACAATTCAAGAGTTATTTAGGAGGTAGAAGTGAGGAGAGTTGGTGACCAACTATTAATACATGTGAGGATGAGGGGGATCGTAGGGCAGAGGAAGACCCCTGGATTTTGGGCTTTCATGAATAGTTGAGAGTGCAATTTAATGAAACATGGCATATAGGAGAAAGAATAGATAGGGAGACAAGATTATGAGTTCAGCTTCAGTCATATAAAATTTTAGGTGTCTTTGAAATTTCCAAGCAGAGATGTTCATTAAGCAGTTGGATATCTACACTGGAGATAGATTTGAGAATATTTTTATAGAGTATAGATGAAGACATAATCACAGTGAGATTACTCAACAAAGAGTACAAAAACTTAGATCAGAACCCCAATGATATAATCCTAAGAAGTCCCAATGTTTATGGAATAAATGGAAGAAGAAGAGCACCTGAAGAAGACTGAAAATATTGTCTATAGAGGTATGGGGAAAGTCTGGAAGACAGTAATGTCACAGAATCTAAGGGAGCAGAGAGTTTCCAGAAGGGAGTTGTCACCAGTGTCAAAGGCTGCAAATGTTCACAGAAGATCAGGTTGGAAAAGTGCCTGCTGGATTTAGCAACTAGTAAGTTATATATAACCTTGGTGTATACAGTTTCAATTTCAGTGGCCTGAAGGGAATGGAATAAAAATGCAGTAGGCTGAGGAGTAGTAAGAAGTGAGGAAGCCCAAGGACATTTTCTTTGGTAGCCCCACAAATATTTTCTTTTGGGAGCTCATAGCAAATAGTAAAGTGTACCTGCCTTCTCATTATATATAATTTCTCCCTGTAGCATTTATTAAAAGATTTTCAGCAAAAATAAGTGAGCATAGGCAATGAGTGATTATTACTCTTCCAACAGGCTGTGCTATAAAGAAAAGGCAATAAATAGTGATAACTCTCCCCTCTCCCCATCTCTGTCTGTCGCTCTGTCACTGAAAATACTTGAACATGTTTAAATACTACTGGGAAGGAGCCAACAGAAAGGAAGAGGTTGAGGATTCAGAAAAGAGGGGAATAATCGATGGAAAAGGAACCACAAAGAGGCAGAAAAGCGTGGGCTCAGGAACACATATGGAAGAATGGGATTCGTTAGGATTGGGAAACACCTCTTCCATTGAGATGGGAATGGAAGAGTTAAGGATGAACGCCAATGCAGAGAAGTTTATAGTTGGGGGCTGAATGGTAAGGACCAGGGAGTGGAACAGTTCTTACATCATAACCCCAATTTTACCCCATGAAAATTTTTATTTGGAGTAGTGAAAGTCTGAAATAGTAGGTGAACGTAATAATTGAAAGAGATGACTAAGATAAAGTGATGCTAGGGGGCAATGAATATTTCATGCTCTTCATCTCTATTCTTATATCCCATTTCCAATCCATCAGGAAATTCTACAACTTTATCTTCAAAATATACCCCAAATCCAGCCACTTTTCTCCACCTACACTGCCACCACCCTAGTTTGAACTATCACCGTCTCTCTTTGATTACTGTAATAGCTTTTCCCACTCCACTCCACCCCACCTCTACCCCACTCTGGCTTCTTTCAAGATTTTCTCTTTGTCTTTGATTTTCAGCAGTTTAAATTATATATCTAGGTATAGCGTTTTTGGTATTTATCCTGCTTAGTATTCTCTGAGATTCCTGGATCTGTGGTTTGGTGTCTGCTATTAACTTCAGAAAATTATCAGCCATTATCACTTCAAATATTTCTTCTGTTCTTTTCTTTCTTTCTTCTCCTTCTGGTATTCCCATTATGCATATGTCATAGCTTTTTAATTGTCCGACAGTTCTTAGGTATTCTACTTTTTTAATTCTTTTTTTCTCTTTGCATTTCAGTTTGGGAAGTTTCTACTGAGATATTTTTCAGCTCAGATTCTTTCCTCAGCCATGTTCAGTCTACTAATAAGCGCATCAAAAACATTCTTCACTTCTGTCACAGTGTTTTGATTTCTAGCATTTCATTTTGATTCTTTCTTAGGGTTTCCATCTCTCTGCTAACATTACCTATCTATTCCTGTATATTGTCCACTTTTTCCATTAAAATCTTTAGCATATTAATCATGCTTATTTTAAATTTCCTGTCTGAAAATTCCAAAGTCTCTGCCACATTTGAGTCTGGTTCTGGTGCTTTGTCTCTTCAGACTATTTTCCCTGCCTTTTGGCATGCTTTGTAATTTTTTACATGATGTATCAGATAAAAGGAGTGTGAGGTTTTATGTTTATCTGGCTAGGAGTTAGGTGCTTAGTGTCTGCTGTAGTTGTGGTACCGACAACTAAAATTTTCCCTAGTGACCTTGGTTTTGTCTCCCCTGTTGGGAGTTTTCCTGGAGCCTCCTTAAATAGAGTCTGAGTCTTGCAGCTCTCACAGTTGTGATCCACTATTATTATACTGCAGCCCTGTTGATTTGGTAGTAAGGTATTGAAAGTGTGAGAGTCCCCCTAAGAATGTGACTCGGGAGTTTTTTTTGTTTTTGTTTTTGTTTTTAACTCCCAAGCAGGTCCATTCTCAGCTTATAGCAATTTGTCAATCACCATTTAGGTGTTCCTACCAGTTATTGACTCCAGTGGTTTCTGCTCCAGCTAAATTAATCTGGGCTTTTATTTCTTTGCATAACAGGAGCAGATTGGTAACGAAAAAGTTTGACTGAAGTGGGTTCAAGATAGAATAGGGAAGAAATATTGGAAACAGCATTTCTTTTGAGGAGTTTTGCTGTGAATGGGAGTAGAGAAAAGAAAAATAGCTGAAGGAAGATATGGGGCAAATATTTTTTGTTTTGGAGATTAAGGAAATCAGAGCATATTTATTGATGAGAATGATCCAATGGAAAGCTGAAAATTCTAATGCAGGAGAGAAATGAAGATTTTCTGCAGCAAAGTCCTTAAGTAGGCAAGAAGAAATGAGATGGGAGCCAATGTACAAGTTATTATTATCATTGAAAATATTATTATTACTTTTTTACTATTATTCCTTTCAGTACAAATGTTCAAATGATCTTTGGCTTGCCTGATTCATGTGAATCTGTTTCTACTGTTCTATGCAGAATTTTCTAGCCGTTTGCTGACCACCATCATAAGGAGACTTTCACTTCAATAAATCACAATTTGGAGGCCAGGATGGAGCCTTAATCCTACCAGAGTCCCTCAACATTTGGGATAAAGTATTTAAATGGAGAGGAGCCTAGAATCTATAATAACAGCTAATACTTTTATAGCATCTATGTGCCAAGCACTGTGGTAAATACACACATGTATATATGTATATGTATTTATCATATACGTAAATTGGGTACATATCTATACACAACCTCATTGGGTTATTGTGATAAAAATATGAGTTGATATATAGAACTCATATTATTATCACAGTAACCCACTGAGGTACATGCTCTGTTATTCTCATTTTACAGATGGAGAAACTGAAATATACAGCTAGTAAATGGGGGAGTCAAGAGATATGAACCCAAAGTCTTGGGCTCTGGAGTCTACATACTTAACCCTACCATAAATCTTTTCCTTTTCTGAGCAAGAATTCATTTAAGGCCATGATGATAATGTCAAGGTTCACTGAGCTTAGTTCAGTCTCTGAAGAGAGGAACACAAGCTTAGTTCCTCATTACACTGTCCTGAGAAATCTTCGTAAATCTCAGAAAGAGCCCTCAGATTAATCTCATTTTCTTATGGCTCATTATTTATGAATTTGTCTTTGTCCATAAACAGGTAAAGTATACTATGCCTTTTTCAAGATAAGAATCTGACTTTATTTTACAGTAGATTTACACTATTTCTATGAACACCCCAACCTGCCTTTTAAAAATATTTTTACTAAAGTATTACATTCAGAAAAGTATCATAAATGCACAGTTAGATAAATCTTCACACAGTGAGCAAGCCCATGTAACTAGTACCTAGATCAAGAACCAGAACATTATTAGCACCCCAGTGTCCCCTTCTTGCCAACTCTCAGTCACTATCCTCCTAAATGTAACTGCTATTAGCTTGTTATGTTTTTGAACTGAAATCCAAACTATTAGATTGGTATATTAATGGCAAAAACAGCAATTACATTTGAACCAATCTAATACTTTTAAATTAACCCCTACTTCCATTAACAATCTACACATTTCTTGCCTGATTTTTTCCAACTCATTCAAGGATGAAAGCTAAAATTGTGTCATGTCCTGCTCACCTAAATGACCACATTTTGTTCTGAGTTTTTATTTGAACTATGTTTATGTGATAAAATAATAAATAATAATAGTAACCACACTTACTGAGCACTTACTATGTGCCAGGTAAATGTTTTACTTGTCTAATCCCCATAACAACCCTAAGAGGGTGGTATTATATTTTAATTTCTACTTTTCAAAAGAGGAAACTGAAGCACAGAGAGATTAGGTAACCTTCCCAAGGCCACACAGTTAGCAAGTGGCAGAATTAAGGTAATTTTTTTCTCCCTTTGAAATATGTTTGGCCATATGTAGATCAGACAAATATATCCTAGTTCATCTGGATGGACTCTTGTTATTATAAGATTAGTTTTAATGAATTATTTAAATACACTTATCTATTATATCTGATTATACTTTAATTGCAGTCCACACTGAATTCCCCCTTATACAATCAATTCAAAATTTAGAATCCATTGTTAACCTTCTTGGATTTAATTGTGTCCTGTTTCATGCATCAGATTAACAGGTTGCTAGCTACTGTTCCCAATGTGTACAATACAGAATATTTACGTTATATCCCTAGAATTTTTTTCAAAGGCATTTTGGTTGTTCCATATTATTGTCCCTTTAATTAACATGGTTTGTCAGAATACTTTTGGCTGCAAGTAAGAGAACACCCAACTAAACATATTTTAAACAGCAAAGATTTATTAATAAATCTCACATAACAAGAAGTCTTAAGTTAGGCAGTCCCAGGCTTGATTCATTAGTTCACTGAGGTTATCAAGGACCCTATTTTTTTCCCCATCTTTCCGCTCTGGAACCTCCAGTTTATTGGGATGATTCTTCTCAGAGTTGCAAGATGACTGCAGCCATTCCAAGCATCACATCATGACACAGCTGTATGCAAAGCAGGCAGAAAGGGGCTGCAAGGGAAGGCTGCCCTTTCCTTTTTTACTGAAGAAACTTTCTGAGAAACCCCAGCAAACTTCCCCTTATGTCTCATTGGCTAGAATTGTTCCATGTGGCCACTCCTAGCTGCAAGACAGGCTGAGATAACAGTAATTAACACTCCCAGCCTCTGTTGGGAGAAGAAAGGTGTTTATTGGGCAATATGTTGTTAGATAGGTAACCACCATTATGTGCTTCACATAGATAATTTACAGCTAACCTTAATGTCTTAGAAAGGATATAGATGAAGAAAGGCAATATTAACTACACCCATAGTATATTGGATGTGTAAGCTGAAATGTTGCCTTCCTATGACTTGTCAGTCTGATAGTCTTGATGCTACTGTATTTCTGAAGTCTCACCATATGGTAGGACTTTCTAAGTGTGTCACAGTGAATTTGCTCCATATTGGCTGGAAGTTTCAGGAAAATAGAATTTGGTTTAATAGAAAGAAGTATATTTCTGACAGAGCTGGTTGTTTCCAGAAGGTTTGAAACACATATCACCAAAATGTTTAAGTAGAGTGCTTCAGTTTACAATAACAACAATAATAATTACAATAATAACATATAAATTCTGAATCAAGAGATACTCAGCCTCCTGTCAAAAACCAATGGATTTTTGTAGAGGGAATTCATGTGGAGCTTAGATAAAGAATTAGAGTCTATCTATGATTTATAACCTTTTGTATCTTATTTCTTACTAAAAACTCAAATAATTATTTGTCTCTTACCATAATGAAAACAAATAAACAAAAATGCCTGTTTTCCAAAAATGTGCATGTATATTTTCATAATATTGTACTAATATTAGGTTGGTGCCAAAGTAATTGCTGTTTTGCCATTAAAAATAATTGCAAAAACTGCAATTACTTTGGCACCAACCTAATAATATTAAGTACATACTTTATTGCTATGATATTATAAAACAAGGAGATCATTTTTTAGAAATTGAAGTAGAGGCCGGTCACGGTGGCTCACGCCTGTAATCCCAGCACTTTGGGAGGCTGAGGCGGGTGGAACACGAGGTTAGGAGATCGAGACCATCCTGGCTAACACGATGAAACCCCGTCTCTACTAAAAATACAAAAAATTAGCCAGGCGTGGTGGCGGGCACCTGTAGTCCCAGCTACTCAGGAGGCTGAGGCAGGAGAATGGCGTGAACCCGGGAGGAAGAGTTTGCAGTGAGCCGAGATCACACCACTGCACTCCAGCCTGGGTGACAGAGCGAGACTCCATCTCAAAAAAAAAAAAAAAAAAATTGAAGTAGAGTTGTTGAAAGCAAACAAATTATACCAGGTCAAGGTAAGCTGGGTAGATAAAAAATTATCTGTATTAACAGGTGGCATGAAAGTTCAACCTGAAGCTCTCATGAAACTGCAATTTTATTAGTGGCAAGAAAGGAAGAATGGTGAATAAAGTACAATAATAGATACATTCCAGCAGAAATACTTACATAAAAATAAATACACATGCCAGTAGGTGGGGAGAAGAGTGGATTCTGAGACACACATGGGCTACAAGGTTAATGATAGCTTGTCAAGGTGACTTAGATGGAAAATATATGGCAGATATGATTAGGTGAATTGGCGTCCTGACAAATGTGGATCTAAGGAGAAAAAGAGAGAAAATATCCTAATGAAAGCCTGGTATCCCAACTGGATTACATCTGTATTTGTTTCCTTACCAGATACTTCCTTCTCTGTCTTCTCTTTATTTTCTCCTCCTGAAAACTCTCCTAACTTTTGTTTATCTTTTTCTGCCCTCTTCCACTTTCATTTCTTTCTCTTATCTTTTCTTCATCTCTTCTCTTTGCCAGTGATACCCAATGATGTCCTCAGATGATTGTTCAGCACTCTTGGTGGCTGTAAGGTCAGAGATCTCTGGTTATGAGCAGGGTTGGAAAATGTATTAGTAGCAATATGTTTCAAGCAAAGGTTTAACTTTGGCAAATAATAAAACATGAACCTTAGTACAAAGATGAACAAATAGTTCTTGGAAATAATAAATGGCTATGACTGAACTCAAGTGGTATACAACTCATACACAATTCGTGCATGTTCCATATACAGGAAGTATAGATATGGGGATCTGACAAGTGTACAACCAAAAAGTTAACTGGTAATTTATACATGCTGTAAAGAACAAGTTCAAAATCCATGGTCCCTTATCTCCTATATAAACCATTCACAATCTCTGCTGATTGCCTCTCCTAATTGCAGCAGTCTTTAAATGTAGTTGTCAAGACTGCCTTCTTCTATCTTACTCTCATGATGGTGGATCGCTTGTTTATACTGTCTTGAATTCTGTTCATCTCTTGGTGTTTTCTGACTGTACGTTGTGAATAACGTAAGAAAAATTTTAGTTGCTTTATTTCTATAGGTTAAAGGTATAAATAATTAATTATGCTTTAATTAGAGAGGGAATCAATGCTTTGTAGTATCTAAGGCTAAGGAACTAGACAGTATTACAAGCAAAGGTTCTGTTGTTTAAAATTCACAAACCTGAAAGTATCTGTTTTTTTAAAAGGTGATTATTTTTAGAAGAGATAAATAATTATTTCCTCTTAAAGATAACATGTTTGTCTCTGATCTCTGAGATAAATATGAAAAATTCTATGGACCAGTAACTAAAATTTTTACTTGTGTCAATATTAGTAATTGTTTTAGGCTACTTATATTTAACACTGTTTCTTAGAATATATAAATGTTGTACCAGATTTTTAAGAAAATTTTCAATCGGCAATGTATTCAATACAAATATGTACTTACATGATATAATAAAAACCATGCGAATCCATGTAAAAGGAAAGAAATGGCCAAAGAAATAAGTGGTATAATCATACCTGTCTATGAAACAGCATAAAATCTTTGCCAAGCCAAGAAGTACAACTTTTTTTTTCTAAATATTGGCTATTGAAAACAGATGTGACTTAAATTTCTCTAAACAGCACCATTTGACATAGTAATTCTGGTGGGCACTTTTGGAATGTTGGGTAGTTGAATGTTCAGTGGAGCATTTTGGCCCAGTGAAGTTGTTTCCATATTTAAAGGTGTAAGTCAAACTTTTAAAGTACTGTACTATGTTTTTACCTAAAAACTGTGTTATATTTTCTGATGTTGCCTTTTCACTCCTTTTAGCAATATGTTTATGTAGTAGAATCAGTGTGTCATATTTTACATTAGGAAAAAAATACGCTCTACAAAGGGCAAACAGCTTCCTTTTGGATTCTATGTACCTAATCTCATCAAAGAAGCTTCCCCTTCTTGCCTATCACCTCCATCCCCAAACATACTCGGATACTCAGAGACCTGGGATTCAGACAATCTGAACTCTGACTCCATGGAATCTCTTCTTTGTGTTTAGGCTGGAGGAAGGTTAAAATAGTTTTCCTTTTCTTGGAATTGCAGTTTCTGTGCATGTTTATAGGTCCTGTGACTTGACTCGTAAGAAAGGTTCCTACTGAGTTTCAGACTTTAGAAAACTTTTTCTCAGTTCAGATCAGGGAGGAGACACTGCAGCTATATCCTGGGCAAAATGACTCTCCACAGTTTTCTTGAAATTATCAAAACATCATTAAGAGTTGGGGCTGTCTGGGTGCAGTGGCATATGCCTGTAATCCCAGCTACTCAGGAGGCTGAGACGGCTGGGTCTCTTGAGCTCAGAAGTTCAAGACCAGCCTGGGCAACACAGTGAGACCCAGTCTCTTCAAAATATAAAATAATAAAAATAAAAGAGCCAAGTGTGGTGGTGCACAACTATAATCCCAGGTACTTGGGGGGCTGAAGTGGGAGGATTACTTGAGTCTGGGAGGTAGATGCTGCATGAGCCGTGATTGCACCATTGCAATCCAGCCTGGGTGACAGAGCTAGGCCCTGTCTCAAAAAAAAATAAAATAAATAAAATAAAATAAAAAAGAGAGCAAGAGATGTGGCTGAGCTGCCTGCTACCCTTAGTGGCCTACTAGTAGAGTGACTATTTAATCTATCTGTCTAAATTAGTGCACATTGGGAATGAAGAGAGCATTATTAATAATTATTCTGGGACAACAGGCATAAACTGGAAATGTCCTAGCAACCCAGTATTTATGTTGACCCTATCTTTGGGTACTGTGCATCTTGTCAAATTTACTAATTATGCTTATTTTTATGTCTGTCTTTCTCTTGTATATTGTAAGCTATTTAAAAACATAGATCTTTGTTTTAACCATGATTACCTATCAAATAACTGGAATAGTACTTGGCACATACTAGGTGCCCAATAAATCTTGTTGAATGAGTGAAATATTACTGTATAATAGGCCATTTTTTTGTGATTCATTCCTAGGCTAAATGAGAAATATACTCTTGTGAAAGTCCTTTTCCAGGAAGAAATCTATGAGTATGAATAAGATATATTTGAAAAATATACTTTGGCCTCCAATAAATGACAGTGTATTACATATTAAAAGCCACATCCTTTTAAGTAGAGTACCACCTATTTGAAGCTGGTAGACAGCTTCAAAATGTGGTAGACACATTTTCTTACAGAATCCTAGACAGTCATAGCTATGAAAGATTATAGTAATCACCTAACCGATCTTTTCATGTCAGCTATGACAGTATGCCATAATATAGTAGTCCCCCTTATTTGCAGTTTCACTTTCTGTGGTTTCAGTTACCTGTGGTACCACGATCTGAACATACTACATACAGTAAGATATTTTGTAAGAGACCACATTCACATAACATTTATTACAGTATATTCTTTTTTTTTTTTTTTGAGACAGAGTCTCGCTCTGTCGCCTGGGCTGGAGTGCAGTGGCACGATCTCGGCTCACTGCAAGCTCCGCCTCCCGGGTTCACACCATTCTCCTGCCTCAGCCTCCTGAGCAGTTGGGACTACAGGCGCCCGCCACCACGCCCGGCAATTTTTTTGTACTTTTAGTAGAGATGGGGTTTCACTGTGTGTTAGCCAGGCTGATCTCGTTCTCCTGACCTTGTGATCTGCCTGCCTCGGCCTCCCAAAGTGCTGGGATTACAGGCCTGAGCCACTGTGCCCGGCCTACAGTATATTCTTATAATTACTCTATTTTACCAATTGTTATTCTTGTTAATCTCTTACTATGTCCAATTTATAAATTAACAGGATGACTACAGCCAATGATAATTTATTGTCCATTTAAAAATAATTAAGAGTATAATTAGATTATTGGTAACACAAAGAAAGGATAAATGCTTGAGGTGATGGACACCCCATTTACCCTGATATGATGAATATGGATTGCATTCCTGTATCAGAATAGCTCATGTACTCTATAAATACATACACCTCCTATGTGCCCACAAAAATTAAAAATTTAAAAAAATAAACTTTATCATAGGTATGTATGTATAGGAAAAATCATAGTGCATATAGGGTTCAGTACTATCTGCAATTTCAAGTATCCACTGGGAGTCCTGGAATCTATCACCTGTGAATAAGTGGGGACTACTGTTTATTGGAATAACACATACTAGGAGTACCTTACTTAGGATCTGACATTTACTGTTCGATGGGGTAACCTGACAAAAATTCTGCAGGAGGCAATGAAGCACTCTCTAAAGATACTATATGAACAATTCTTGCCAGTAGTCACTCCCATTGGGGAATTTGGGAAAGTCATATTCTCCCTCTCCATAAATACATGGACATTTCTGGCTGGCAACCAAGATGGCCGAATAGGAACAACTCCGGTCTACAGCTCCCAGCATGAGTGACACAGAAGATGGGTGATTTCTGCATTTCCATCTGAGGTACCGGGTTCATCTCACTAGGGAGTACCAGACAGTGGGCGCAGGACAGTGGGTGCAGCGCACCGTGCGAGAGCCAAAGCAGAGCGAGGCATTGCCTCACTTGGGAAGCACAAGGGGTCAGGTAGTTCCCTTTCCTAGTCAAAGAAAGGGGTGATGGACGGCACCTGGAAAATCGGGTCACTCCCACCCTAATACTGTGCTTTTCCGACGGGCTTAAAAAATGGCACACCAGGAGATTATATCCCACACCTGGCTCAGAGGGTCCTACGCCCACGGAGTCTTGCTGATTGCTAGCACAGCAGTCTGAGATCAAACTGAAAGGCGACAGCAAGGCTGGGGGAGGGGTGCCCGCCATTGCCCAGGCTTGCTTAGGTAAACAAAGCAGCTGGGAAGCTCCAACTGGGTGGAGCCCACCACAGCTCAAGGAGGCCTGCCTGACTCTGTAGGCTCCACCTCTGGGGGCAGGGCACAGACAAACAAAAAGACAGCAGTAACCTCTGCAGACTTAAATGTCCCTGTCTGACAGCTTTGAAGAGAGCAGTGGTTCTCCCAGCATGCAGCTGGAGATCTGAGAATGGGCAGACTGCCTCCTCAAGTGGGTCCCTGACCCCTGACCCCCGAGCAGCCTAACTAGGAGGCACCCCCCAGTAGGGGCAGACTGACACCTCACACAGCCAGGTACTCCTCTGAGACAAAACTTCCAGAGGAACGATCAGACAGGAGCATTCGCGATTCACGAAAATCTGCTGTTCTGCAGCCACCGCTGCTGATACCCAGGGAAACAGGGTCTGGAGTGGACCTCTAGCAAACTCCAACAGACCTGCAGCTGAGGGTCCTGTCTGTTAGAAGGGAAACTAACAAACAGAAAGGACATCCACACCAAAAACCCATCTGTACATCACCATCATCAAAGACCAAAAGTAGATTAAAACCACAAAGATGGGGAAAAAACAGAGCAGAAAAACTGGAAACTCTAAAAAGCAGAGCACCTCTCCTCCTTCAAAGGAACGCAGATCCTCACCAGCAATGGAACAGAGTTGGACGGAGAATGACTTTGATGAGTTGAGAGAAGAAGGCTTCAGACGATCAAACTACTCCAAGCTACAGGAGGAAATTCAAACCAAAGGCAAAGAAGTTAAAAACTTTGAAAAAAATTTAGAAGAATGTATAACTAGAATAACCAATACAGAGAAGTGCTTAAAGGAGCTGATGGAGCTGAAAGCCAAGGCTCGAGAACTACGTGAAGAATGCAGAAGCCTCAGGAGCCAATGCAATCAACTGGAAGAAAGGGTATCAGTGATGGAAGATGAAATGAATGAAAGGAAGCCAGAAGGGAAGTTTAGAGAAAAAAGAAATGAACAAAGCCTCCAGGAAATATGGGACTATGTGAAAAGACCAAATCTACGTCTGAGTGGTGTACCTGAAAGTGACGGGGAGAATGGAACCAAGTTGGAAAACACTCTGCAGGATATTATCCAGGAGAACTTCCCCAATCTAGCAAGGCAGGCCAACATTCAGATTCAGGAAATACAGAGAATGCCACAAAGATATTCCTCGAGAAGAGCAACTCCAAGACACATAATTGTCAGATTCACCAAAGTTGAAATGAAGGAAAAAATGTTAAGGGCAGCCAGAGAGAAAGGTCGGGTTACCCACAAAGGGAAGCCCATCAGACTAACAGCGGATCTCTCGGCAAAAACTCTACAAGCCAGAAGAGAGTGGAGGCCAATATTCAACATTCTTAAAGAAAAGAATTTTCAACCCAGAATTTCATATGCAGCCAAACTAAGCTTCATAAGTGAAGGAGAAATAAAGTCCTTTACAGACAAGCAAATGCTGAGTGATTTTGTCACCACCAGGCCTGCCCTAAAAGAGCTCCTGAAGGAAGCACTAAACATGGAAAGGAACAACTGGTACCAGCCACTGCAAAATCATGCCAAATTGTAAAGGCCATCGAGACTAGGAAGAAACTGCATCAACTAACGAGCAAAATAACCAGCTAACATCATAATGACAGGATCAAATTCACACATAACAATATTAACTTTAAATGTAAATGGACTAAATGCTCCAATGAAAAGACACAGACTGGCAAATGGCATAAAGAGTCAAGACCCATCAGTGTGCTGTATTCAGGAAACCCATCTCACGTGCAGAGACACACATAGGCTCAAAATAAAAGGATGGAGGAGGATCTACCAAGCAAATGGAAAACAAAAAAGGGAGAGGTTGCAATCCTAGTCTCTGATAAAACAGACTTTAAACCAACAAAGATCAAAAGAGACAAAGAAGGCCATTACATAATGGTAAAGGGATCAATTCAACAAGAAGAACTAACTATCCTAAATATATATGCACCCAATACAGGAGCACCCAGATTCATAAAGCAAGTCCTGAGTGACCTACAAAGAGTCTTAGACTCCCATACAATAATAATGGGAGACTTTAACACCCCACTGTCAACATTAGACAGATCAATGAGACAGAAAGTTAACAAGGATATCCAGGAATTGAACTCAGCTCTGCATCAAGCGGACCTATTATACATCTACAGAACTCTTCACCCCAAATCAACAGAATATACATTTTTTCAACAACACACCACACCTATTCCAAAATTGACCACATAGTTGGAAGTAAAGCTCTCCTCAGCAAATGTAAAAGAACAGAAATTATAACAAACTGTCTCTCAGACCACAGTGCAATCAAATTAGAACTCAGGATTAAGAAACTCACTCAAAACCACTCAACTACATGGAAACTGAACAACCTGCTCCTGAATGACTACTGGGTACACAACGAAATGAAGGCAGAAATAAAGATGTTCTTTGAAACCAACGAGAACAAAGACACAACATACCAGAATCTCTGGGACACATTCAAAGCAGTATGTAGAGGGAAATTTATAGCACTAAATGCCCACAAGAGAAAGCAGGAAAGATCTAAAATTGACACCCTAACATCACAATTAAAAGAACTAGAAAAGCAAGAGCGAACACATTCAAAAGCTAGCAGAAGGCAAGAAATAACTAAAATCAGAGCAGAACTGAAAGAAATAGAAATACAAAAAACCCTTCAAAAAATTAATGAATCCAGGATCTGGTTTTTTGAAAGGATCAACAAAATTGATAGACTGCTGGCAAGACTAATAAAGAAGAAAAGAGAGAAGAATGAAATAGATGCAATAAAAAATGATAAAGGGGATATCACCACCGATCCCCCAGAAATACAAACTACCATCAGAGAATACTAAAAACACCTCTATGCAAATAAACTAGAAAATCTAGAAGAAATGGATAAATTCCTCGACACATACACTCTCCCAAGAATAAACCAGGAAGAAGCAGAATCTCTGAATAGATGAATAATAGGCTCTGAAATTGTGGCAATAATCAATAGCTTACCAACCAAAAAGAGTCCAGGACCAGATGGATTCACAGCCGAATTCTACCAGAGGTACAAGGAGGAACTGGTACCATTCCTTCTGAAACTATTCCAATCAATAGAAAAAGAGGGAATCCTCCCTAACTCATTTTATGAGGCCAGCATCATCCTGATACCAAAGCCGGGCAGAGACACAACCAAAAAAGAGAATTTTAGACCAATATCCTTGATGAACATTGATGCAAAAATCCTCAATAAAATACTGGCAAACTGAATCCAGCAGCTCATCAAGAAGCTTATCCACCATGATCAAGTGGGCTTCATCCCTGGGATGCAAGGCTGGTTCAACATATGAAAATCAATAAACATAATCCAGCATATAAACAGAACCAAAGACAAAAACCACATGATTATCTCAATAGATGCAGAAAAGGCGTTTGACAAAATTCAACAACCCTTCATGCTAAAAACTCTCAATAAATTAGGTATTGATGGGACGTATCTCAAAATAATAAGAGCTATCTATGACAAACCCACAGCCAATATCATACTGAATGGACAAATACTGGAAGCATTCCCTTTGAAAACTGGCACAAGACAGGGATGCCCTCTCTCACCGCTCCTATTCAACACAGTGTTGGAAGTTCCGGCCAGGGTAATCAGGCAGGAGAAGGAAATAAAGGGCATTCAATTAGGAAAAGAGGAAGTCAAATTGTCCCTGTTTGCAGATGACATGATTGTATATCTAGAAAACCCCATTGTCTCAGCCCAAAATCTCCTTAAGCTGATAAGCAACTTCAGCAAAGTCTCAGGATACAAAATCAATGTACAAAAATCACAAGCATTCTTATACACCAATAACAGACAAACGGAGAGCCAAATCATGAGTGAACTCCCATTCACAATTGCTTCAAAGAGAATAAAATACCTAGGAATCCAACTTACAAGGGATGTGAAGGACCTCTTCAAGGAGAACTACAAACCGGTGCTCAAGGAAATAAAAAAGGATACAAACAAATGGAAGAACATTCCATGCTCATGGGTAGGAAGAATCAATATCATGAAAATGGCCATACTGCCCAAGGTAATTTATAGGTTCAATGCCATTCCCATCAACCTACCAATGACTTTCTTCACCGAATTCAAAAAAACTACTTTAAAGTTCATATGGAACCAAAAAGGAGCCTGCATTGCCAAGTCAATCCTAAGCCAAAAGAACAAAGCTGGAGGCATCATGCTACCTGACTTCAAACTATACTACAAGGCTACAGTAACCAAAACAGCATGGTACCGGTACCAAAACAGAGATATAGACCAATGGAACAGAACAGAGCCCTCAGAAATAATGCCGCATATCTACAACCATCTGATCTTTGACAAACCTGAGAAAAACAAGCAATGGGGAAAGAATTCCCTATTTAATAAATGGTGCTGGGAAAACTGGCTAGCCATATGTAGAAAGCTGAAACTGGATCCCTTCCTTACACCTTATACAAAAATCAATTCAAGATGATTAAATACTTAAATGTTAGACCTAAAACCATAAAAACCCTAGAAGAAAACCTAGGCAATACCATTCAGGACATAGGCATGGGCAAGGACTTCAAGTATAAAACACCAAAAACAATGGCAACAAAAGCCAAAATTGACAAATGGGATCTAATTAAACTAAAGAGCTTCTGCACAGCAAAAGAAACTACCATCAGAGTGAACAGGCAACCTACAAAATGGGAGAAAATTTTCGCAACCTACTCATCTGACAAAGGGCTAATATCCAGAATCTACAATGAACTCAAACAAATTTACAAGAAAAAAACAAACAATCCCATCAAAATGTGGGCGAAGGATATGAACAGACACTTCTCAAAAGAAGACATTTATGCAGCCAAAAGACACATAAAAAAATGCTCACCATCACTGGCCATCAGAGAAATGCAAATCAAAACCACAATGAGATACCATCTCACACCAGTTAGAATGGCAATCATTAAAAAGTCAGGAAACAACAGGTGCTGGAGAGGATGTGGAGATATAGGAACACTTTTACACTGTTGGTGGGATTGTAAACTAGTTCAACCATTGTGGAAGTCAGTGTGGCGATTCCTCAGGGATCTAGAACTAGAAATACCATTTGACCCAGCCATCCCATTACTGGGTGTATACCCAAAGGACTATAAATCATGCTGCTTTAAAGACACATGCACACGTATGTTTATTGCGGCACTATTCACAATAGCAAAGACTTGGAACCAACCCAAATGTCCAACAATGATAGACTGGATTAAGAAAATGTGGCACATATACACCATGGAATACTATGCAGCCATAAAAAATGATGAGTTCATGTCCTTTCTAGGGGCATGGATGAAATTGGAAATCATCATTCTCAGTAAACTTTCACAAGGACAAAAAAGCAAACACCGCATGTTCTCACTCATAGGTGGGAATTGAACAATGAGAACACATGGACACAGGAAGGGGAATATCTCACTCTGGGGACTGTTGTGGGGTGGGGGTAGTGGGGAGGGATAGCATTAGGAGATATAGCTAATGCTAAATGATGAGTTAATGGGTGCAGCACACCAGCATGGCACATGTATACATATGTAACTAACCTGCACATTGTGCATATATACCCTAAAACTTAAAGTATAATAATAAAAATAAATAAAAATAAAATAAAAATTAAAAAAAAATACATCGACATTTCTATGTGATGTATGCCATCTCAGTTTTCAGTATATGCATCAGAGAACCACATTCATATTATTTGGCAGGGTCTCAAGGTTTTATAAAAACACTAGAAGTTCATATATGAGTCATTTATTTCTATAAAATATAGGAGGAAAATCTGGAATCGTGGGAAAGATGGGGGCAGGTAGATTTTGCTGGCAGTCTTTTCTCATCTTTTCATATTTCTTCTTGCATTTGCTACAGACTGGCCAAGTTAGTCTGTTAACCTACATTCATTGCTGTAGGAGTAGGTGCGAGGAAACACTCAGGTTGCAGGTATGGAACTGGAAGCCTAGGCCTCTTCAACCTCTTCAGAGCAGTGATAGAACTAGTGTAGCCAAAGTGAATACAGGTATAAGCCGTAGGCAAAATGCTGACAATTTAAAAAACAGTCTTGAGACAGCCCTTGTGGATGAGCCTTATTTTTCTTCATACGTGCCACATCTTCATTGCCTAATGATTGGGAAATCTTGTCAGCCTTCTGCATGCTGACTCAGTGTGTTAAAACCTGTAGGCTTTAGAGTGCTTGCTCAGGTGGGAAATGGGACAACATAAAACTCTTGAAGGTCTTAAGGAGAAATGTGATGGTTGAGTAACAATGAAATGTTTGATTCATTCAAGGGACACCATTTGTTTTTTCCTAATATGTGAGCTTTTTCTATTTCTCTCTATGTAGATGTCCAAATTTCAGAAGTCAGTGGAAAAATTATGGGTACATGGGGACCAAATGTGACCAACTCTGGAGTACTCTGGATCTGATTTTAGTAGTGTCATTGCTTGGAATACGATTGGCTTTAATAGTTGGTGTAACAATCCAGACTATGTACTGCTGTAAAAAGAAGTCAAAGAAGAATATAGCTGACCACTAGTAAGAAATTTCTAAATACCTTGAGAATGATGGCAAATCTCTTGTGAGATCAGCAAATGAATCCAGAAATAATGAATATAATTTATCATGCATATTACATACAGGTGGTATGTTCTCTTCCACATTCATCAACATCGTAATTAAATTCTAACAAAAGTCAGATTAACACTGCCACACCAGACATATTTTGTTCAGGATTTGGATAAAGTAAAAACTGGAAAGTCACTTCCCCAGACAGAAGCCAAGTGTAATTCACCAGATAACTGTCCTACTTCAGTGTTTTCCTTCCCACCAAGGGTCAGTATTTGTGTGCACCCCCATATACTGTCCTAATAGTGTGTGTTGGTTGGGGGTGGGAGACGGCGTACCATTACCTCCCACTCACTCCCTAATCCCAGCAACAATGCCAGATAAATGGAAAGAGGAATCCAATAGACTTGCTCTAATCTGAATCTGTCTTGGGTAAATCTCTTCACATCATTGGGCTTCATGTTCCTAATCTATAATATAGAAATTGTTATAATCAGATCTACCCACCTCACAGAGATGGTGGAATGATACTTAAAGCAGCAATCGTTTATTGAGAGTTTATTATGTGTGTCAGGCTGAATTATAAATGTTTCACACCTATCAACTCATTTAAGACTCACCACCCTATAAAGTCTTGATGAGATTACTGAGGCACAAAAAGATCAAATAACTTAGCCAAGGTTACAGGCCTAACTCTGAACCCAGGCAGTCTGGCCATCTGGCCACTAGACCTAAACTCTTAACTCCAGACTATATTAATGGAATCTAATGAGATAAAATAGTGCTTAGAAAGCTGTAAAGCCATGCTATATTCCCTTCACTTATTTGTTTAAAAGCAAACTGTTTCCTTTATACTTTGCACTGTCTCTGAATGAGAGGTATGAGGGGTAAATAACAGTATAGTAAAATCTCATAAATTTTATATTGGTAAATTCGAATTAGCATCTACATTAAATTATAATTCCCCAGTGACAAGATAATGTTACCCTCTATGCAGTATAAAGGTAGTTTGAAATATTACTTTAAAATTGGAAGAATGGGCTTATAAATTGTAATAAAATCAGCAATTTGAACAGCCTCAGATATTTGTCTCTGGGAGGAATGAGATAAACTCTCCAACCTTTTTGTCATTTCAAAATCCTAAATTTTGCACCATAATTCCGTATCCTTTCAAGCATCATGTGGTATACATGTATATATAGGCATAAAATCAATGCTAAACATTAATTTTTAAAAATTTAAATTACTGTGGAGAATTCCATATCACCATTTGACAGAGGTTGGAAACCCCCTGAGATGTTAAAGAAGCATTATGATTAGAAATCACACCTGTAAACATGTCACTTTTGAACTATTCTCCATAGCTTTCCTACTCCAAGGTTTTCTAGAACACTGGATTTGTATTCCAATCTTTCTCTTCCTCTAATTGGGTATAACTTTGAGGTGATCACTTAGCCCCTATTTCCTCCTTTAGAAGTAGGGAGAAGGATGATACATATCTTACTTCCCTATACTTGTGAGATTCAAATGAAATAATTAATGAAAAATTGTATTGAGAAGCAAAAGTAAAACGGAAAGATTTATAATAAATCTCAAGCACTTGGGGTTATTTACATGCTTTTTGGGTAAATAATTAAGCTGCTTTATTTTCTTCCAATTAAAATGCAGTTTAGTTTGAGCTCCATTTTATTCTCCCTCTGCCATTTCCTGATTTGTGAATTGACAAAGTAACTTTAAATATACTCTGGGAGATTCTTTAGTGTAGTGAAAAAAATAGGGGCCATGGTGCCAGACAGAATGAGACTCAATTCCCTGCCCCATAAATCACTGACTATGTGGCCTAGGGGCACTTTCTTAAAATTTCTTAGAGTTGGGCTTCTTATCCACAAAATGAAGTTAAAATTACCTACCTTGCAGGCTTTTTGTAAATATTTAAATAAAATAATGTAATATTTTTGTGAAATATACTGATGTCTGCAATTTACTTTTGGGTGTTTCAAAAAATAAGGTGTACTAATGGATAGATAAAGGAATGAATAGATGGACAGATATATATTAAAGAAAGTATATTAAAATTTTAATGGTATAATTAAGTTGGTAGATACATGGGCATTAACTGTAAAATTCTTTCAGCTTTGCTATAAGTTTTAGCGTTTTTATAATAAAATGTTGGATGAATCAGACAATCTTAAGTAAACCACTTTGAACATGGAAAACGTTAAAAAAGGTCACCATTCTTATTGCTTTCTCTTGGGTATAGTCTGAAAATGGGAGCATTCATTCCGTATTGTCGCAAAACAGTTTATCAAAGAAAAAGATTTATAACCAATTAAGCAAATGCTCTATCCTATGTCGTTGTTGTTTTTCAAATGTGCCAGAGAACAGAGGCGTTCATCAGGACTCCAACCTTAGCAGAATTCTGCATATGATTTTGATACTGATATGAGGCCTCCTCAACCTGATCAAGGCCGGGTAAACACTGGAACTCATTTGCCAGATAAACTAAGTTTACAGAAGGCACCATAAACAGAAATGCCTCGGAGAAACAAAAAGAACCTTGGGAGATCAAAGAAGTAGTCAGAGACAACAAAATGAGATGTAATCAGATCAAATTGCACAAATATGGGATGGTTGATGACAGGTAGAGTACAGGTTGATGATCAGTAGAGTACAGGCCAGGCCTGGGGCATTTACATTGGGAGTGCTGTCTACTATTCCTCCCCACCATTTGTTTCCAGGTAGCATCAAGTTAAAACACATACCTAAGGCAGCCTTGGGGAAAGTTAAAACATATCAAAGAGGCAAAGAGGTCCGCAAAAGAGGGCCAGAAAGATATGGATAACAGTACAAGGATTTGAACCATGTGGAGATTATATATATATATATATATATATATATATATATATATATATATATATATATATATAAAATATGTAAATCTCTTCTCATCCAATGTTCCTAGTAGCACAGATTCTCTAACAGAGACTTGTGGGAATCTCTTCAATTCATTTCATTGTACTTTAGGAGCAGCTCTGAATGAAGAGTAAGAGGGGTATGTGTGTCATATTAGGCCACAAGTATCAGAAACGGCAGCAATGCTTTTATTGTTTTAAATCGAACAAATCATATGTAAAACACTACAAAATCATCTTTTTGTTATGGCATACTAAGTCCTAGAATATGCCCAATTATGATCTCTATATTTAAGGAAGTAATTCTACATATGTTTCTGATATGGCTCTGTCTTAATAACATCAAGGCCAGTTAAATGCTGAAACTCATAAAAAGGTTAAATTAAAGGGTTGATGAATCAAGGAGAGTGGCAAGATACTTTCTAGTTGAAGTCAAAAAAATTAAATATTGAAACAAATTATAGTATGAAGGGTTTGTTGTAATCTATAGTATTTTTCAAAAAAGAAGGTTAAAGTACTCTAGGTGAATATCCTACTATGAATATTGTTGATGTCTCCAAAAGGCTAAACTCTAGAACTGTCAAATGATTTTGGTTGCCCATTTTTCCCAATTATTTTCTAGATAAACCCTAAAAGTTAGAGAACCGTGCAGGTAGGAGACACCTTTCTTTTTCTAAGGATTCACTTTTTCTTAGTCTCCCTAGTTACTTCTGTCACCCACCTATTTTTCAAATCTCCGAGTTGACATTCTCATCTTTTCTCCTCTGTAATAATCTCTCTTTTTAACTTAATGCTATACAAGCTCTAATTGTGGATAAAATTCATGAGGAAAGCCAAGTATAATGCCCATCACTTAGGCTATGTTCAATAAATGTCACTCTCCCTTTCCCTGTCTCAAATTTCCTATGGCTAAATCTCTGCTATAGTTCTTGTTAAATATGAATACTTATGGATACTTTTTATTTAATGCTTTAACCATTTCCTAAACTTTCCTTGTCTAGGAAAGCCACAAGCGAACTACCATACCTGTCCCAATCTACATATTCTTCTCTTTCAGATTGTTTCCCAAAGTCTGGGGAATTAGGAAGCAGAAATGGACTACAGGTTAACAACTTAATAGAAAACTAAGAGACTTTTAAACCAACTTAAACTATTTAGAAAGGTGTCCAGATGCACTTTGCTCTGAACGTACATTTGAAAGATTGACTTTTGCAAGTAATGACTTCTCAGAAGCTAAGACTTAGATGAAGTTTCCACAGAATTAATGCTTTTTCATGCAAATTCATCACTGTTTTTTTTTTTATTCAGCTAGCTCACACACACAACCAGGAACTAATAAGCAGAGGTTGAATTCATTCTTGAATTGTCTATGTTAACCTTTTCTAACTGATTTAGCAATTAGATTTGAGTAAGTTGACGTGAGACTACATATTTGCTACCTCTTCTTCACCCCATCCCCACCTCCACTTTTACGTTTAGCACAAAGTAGCTTATAGCTTTCAAAGTTGTTACAATTGTGGCATGAGCATATAATTAGAAATCCCAATACATTCTGTAAATCTTTGACAGAAAGGGGTGCTCCATAGTTTAGTCATGTGAAAAGAATTCACTGTTGCCTTTGTTGGTTATTTTCGTTGTTGTTCTCATCATAAATACCTTTTAAAAATTTATCTACCTTTAAAACAAAGCTTTTATAGTTCAGCCTTTTCCATAGGAAAGGAATATGCTTGAATTACTTTCACCTGGTGAAAATAAACAACAATTATATTGGGGGAATAAAAACTACATTTCCTAGAGATCCAGCTAATGGGCATATTCTTAAGAGTATAGAAATAAATACTGGTATGGCTTAACGAACATAAAAAGAATACCAAGCCATATAATAGAAGCAACAAATATGGATAAATGCTCACTGAAAAGGAAGAACACTGAATAATAATCCGATTTTCTAAATGTGGCAGTGATAATCACAAACTTACCATATTATTGACTTTATTATATTTTCAAATGGAATAAATTGAAAGTAGGAGGAGACAAGCTAAGCTTTAAATTATCAAGTTTTTAAATCCAGGAAATTATCCTTCCTAGATAATAATACAAAAATAATATCTAATTATTTAAAGTATTCTTTACATACCTGAGAGTATTATTATAACTTAATAATTTGTCATTTGAAGTTGTTCATACCATCATCAAATAGTTAAATATTATCAAGCACTCCACAACAGACAACACTGTACAAATTGTGATAATCTCCAGCCCTTCACTATAATTTCAATATGTAATATCACTGGATAAGTATAAGATTAACTCCACCCTATAAGTACCTGGTTAGTTACAGCTTTATGACTGTGCATATTTGCATGGTTAAATCACTATGTCATATCACTTATGTAATTCATGAAATGAATATTTTTAGACAACGAGTTATATACAACAGGGGTCCCCACCCTCCTGGCCATGGACCCATACTGAGGGGGCATTAACACCTAAGTTCCGCCTCCTCTCAGATTAGTGGCAGCATTAGATTCTCATAGGCATGCAAACCCTATTGTGAACTACACATGCAAGAGATTGAGGTTGCATGCTCCTTATGAGAATCTAATGCCTGATGATCTGAGGTGGAACAGTTTCATCCTAAAACAATCCCCACCTGACTGCCCTACCCCCAATAAATAGAAATATTGTCTTCCGGGAAACTGGTCCCTGGTGCCAAAAAGATTGGGGATCGCTGATCTGAAGTGTACTGGAAATAAGAAAGGTAGAAATAACATATTTTACCATGTTTTTTTTCAAAATAAATAGTACAACGTTTTGCTTTAAAAAATATTAGCCCTCATGGTAACACCACCATGAACACAACTGCATGCAGTTGCTGGAGGGTCCCCCTGACCAAGCCATGCTGCCTCTGTGAATGCCCACATGGAAGCCAGCAAACTGGCACCTGCTAGCATCCTGCTGTAGCTGATAAGCATGAACCCTGCCATGCTGCCACTGCTGCTGCTGCTGGGACATGTGAACAAGGATGGATCCTGCTGCCACCACCCTACGAAACACCTTGGCTGGCACCATCCATTGGCGTTCTGGGACCAGCAGGTCGGGAGCACATAGGCCCCCACCATCACAGTGTGTTCTTAAACTTAAAGAGCCAGAAAACAAAGTCGGGGCCCAATATCAGTCCCCCAGTGTTAGAGCATGCAGTTCAGGAGTTGTGAGCTGAGCCTTGGCCCCTTACAATCTTCCAGAAATGAAGTCAGCTGACTGAACCCACCTTACACCATAATCAAACTCTCAAGGTCATCAAATAGGAGAAAAGAAAAAAAAATCTAGAGGACAGCGACTTTAAAGATGGAAGGAATATCAGCCCATAAACATGAGAAAGAATCAGTGCAAGGTCTCTGACAACTCAAAAAGCCAGAGTGCCTTCTTTCCTCCAAACAACCACACTAGCTCTCCAGCAAGGGTTCTGACCTGGGATGAGATGGCTGAAATTACAGAAATAGAATTCAGAATATGGATAGGAACAAAGATCATCAAGGTGCAGCAGTAAATTGAAACCCAATCCAAGAAAACTAAGGATCACAGTAAAACGATACAGGAGCTGACAGAAAAAATAGCCAGTATAGAAATGAACGAAACTGACCTGATAGAGCTGAAAAACACACTACAAGAATGTCATAATGCAATCCCAAGTAGAATACCAGAATAGACCAAGCTGAAGAAAGAATTCCAGAGCTTGAAGACTGGCTTTCTAAGACAGTCAGAAAAGAATAGAGAAAAAAGAATGAAAAGGAAAAAATAAAACCTCCGAGAAATATGACATTATGTAAAGCGACCAAATCTATGACTCACTGGTGTCCCTGAAAGATGGCAAGAATGGAAGCAACTTGGAAAACATATTTCGGGTTGTCATACATGAGAACGTCCTCAACCTAGCAAGAGAGGCTAACATTGAAATTCAGGAAATGCAGAGAACTCCAGTAAGTTACTTCACAAGATCTACCTGAGACACACATCATCAGTTTCTCCAAGGTTGAAATGAAAGAAAAAAATCTTAAAGGCAGCTGGAGAGAAAGGTCAGGCCACGTACATCAGACTAACAGTGGAACTCTCAGCAGAAACCCTACAAGCCAGAAGAGATTGGGGGCCAATATTCAACATTCTTAAAGAAAAGTAATAACAACCAAAAATCTCATATACGGCCAAACTAAGCTTAATAAGCAAAGGAAAAATAAGATTCTTTTCAGATAAGCAAATACTGAGGAAATTTGTCACCACCAGACATTCCTTAAAAGAGTTCCTGAGGGAAGCAGTAAGTATAGAAAGGAAAGACCAGCCACTACAAAAACACACTGAAATACACAGACCAGTGACACTATAAAGGAACCACACGAACAAGTCTGCATAATAACATCTAACACATCATGATGACAGGATCAAATCCACACATATCAATACTAACCTTCAATGCAAATGGGCAAAATGCCCCAATTTAAAAGGCACAGAGTGGCAAGCTCAATAAAGAAGCAAGATCCAATGGTATGCCATCTTCCAGAGACCCATCTCACATGCAGTGACACACACAGGCTCAAAATAAAGCAATGGAAAAAATCTGCCAAGCAAATAAAAAAAAAAAAAAAACAGAAAAAGCAGGGGCTGCAATCCTAATTTCAGACAAAACAGACTTTAAACCAACAGAGATCAAAACAGACAAAGAAGGGAACTACATAACAGTAAAGGGTTCAATTCAACAAGAAGACCTAACTATCCTAAATATATATGCAGCCAATACAGAAGCATCCAGATTCATAAAGCAGGTTCTTAGAGACCTACAAAGAGACTTAAACTCCCACATAATAATAATGGGAGACTACAATACCTACTGACAGAATTAGACAGACAATTGAGGCAGAAAATTGGATATTCAGGACCTGAATTCAGCACTGGACCAAATAGACCTCACAGACATCTACAGACCTCTCCATCCAAAACTAACAGAATATATATTTTTCTAATTGCCGCATGTCACATTCTCTAAAATCGACCACACCATTGGACATAAAACAATCCTCAGCAAATGTAAAAGAACTGATATCGTACCAACCACTCTCTCAGACCACAGTATGATAAAATTAGAAATCGAGACTAAGAAAAATCACTTGAACCCATATAGTTATGTGGAAATTAAATAATCTCCTCCTGAATGGCTTTTGGGTTAATAATGAAATTAAGGCAAAAATCAAAAAGTTATTTGAAACTAATGAGAACAAAGACACAACATACCAGAATCTCTGAGATACAGCTAAGGCAAAGTTAAGAAAGAAATTATAGCAGTAAATGCCCACGATAAAAAGTTAGAAAGGTCTCATGTTAAAAACCTAACATCACATCTAAAAAGAGAACCAGGAGCAAACCAACCCCAAAGCTAGCAGAAAACAGGAAATAACCAAAACCAGAGATGAACTGAAGGAGACTGAGACAAGAAAACCATTCAAAAGATCAATCAGTGCCACTGATTTGTGTACATTGATTTTGTATCCTGAAACCTTACTGAATTCATTTATCATATCTAGGAGCTTTTTGGATGAGTCCTTAGAGTTTTGTAGGTATACTATCATATCACTGGTGAACAGCAACAGTTTGACTTCCTCATTTCCGATTTGGGTGCCCTTTATTTCTTTCTCTTGTCTGATTTCTCTGGCTAGGACTTTCAAGTACTATGTTGAATAGAAGTGGTGAAAGTGTTTATACTTGTCTTGTTTCAGTTCTCATTGGGAATGCTTTCAATTTTTCCCCATTTAGTATGATACTGGCTGTGGGTTTGTCATAAATGGCTTTTATTACCTTGAGGTCTGTTCCTTCTATGCCAATTTTGCTGAAGGTTTTTTATCATGAAGAGATCCAGGACTTTTTCAAATACTTTTTCTGCCCCCATTGAGATGATCATATGATTTTTAGTTTTAATTCTTTTTATGTGGTGTATCACATTTGCTGACTTGCATATGTTAAACCATTCCTGCATCCCTGGTATGAAACCCACTGGACCATGGTGTATTATCTTTTTGATACGCTGTTGGATTCAGTTAGCTTGTATTTTGTTGAGGATTTTTACATCTATATTCATCAGAGGTATCGGTCTGTAGTTTTCTTTTTTTTTTTTTATGTCCTTTCCTGGTTTTGGTATTTGGGTGATACTGGCTTCATAGAATGATTTAGGGAGGATTCCCTCTTTCTCTACCTTTTGGAACAGTTTCAGTAGGATTGGTACCAATTATTTTAATGTCTGATAGAATTCAGCTGTGAATCCATCTGGTCCTGGAGTTTTTGTTGTTGTTGTTGTTGTTGTTGTTGTTGTTGGCAATTTCTTAATTACTGTTTCAATCTTGCTACTTGTTATTGGTCTGTTCAGTCTTTCTGTTTCTTCCTGGTTTAATCTTTTCTTCTGCTGGGTTTGGGTGTAATTTATTCTTGTTTCCCTAATTCCTTGGCATGTGAGCTCAGATTTTCTATTTGTGCCCCTTCAGACTTTTTTATGTAGGCATTTAAGACTATGAACTTTTTTCTCAGCATGACTTTTTCTGTATCTCAGAGGTTTTGATAGGTTGTGTCATTATTATCGTGAAGTTCAATTAATTTTTAATTTCCATCTTTATTTCATTGTTGACCCAAAGTTCATTCAGAAGCAGATTATTTAATTTCCATGCATTTGTATAGTTTCGCGGGTTTCTTTGGAGTTAACTTCCAATTTTGTCCCACTCTGGTCTGAGAGAGTATTTCATATATTTTAGATTGTATTAAATTTATTGAGACTTGTTTTGTGGCCTACAATATGGTCTAGGAGAATGTTCCATGTGCTGATGAAAAGAATGCATATTCTGCAGTTGTTGGGTAGAATGTTCTGTAAATATATATTAAGTCCATTTGTTCTGGGGTATAGTTTAAGTCCATTGTTTCTTTGTTGACTTTCTGTCTTAATGACCTGTCTAATGCTGTCAGTGGAGTATTGAAGTCCCCCACTATTATTGTCTTGCGGTCTGTCGCATTTCTTAAGTCTAGTAGTAATCATTTTATAAATCTGGGACCTCCAGTGTTAGGTGGATATATATTTAGGACTGTGATATTTTCCTGTTGGACTAGTCCTTTTATCATTATATAATGTCCCTCTTTGTCTTTTTGAACTGTGGTTGTTTTAAAGTTTGTTTTGTCTGATATAAGAATCCTGTTTGCTTTTGGTGTACATGTGCATGGAATATTTTTTTCCATTCCCTTACCTTAAATTTATGTGAGTCCTTATGTGTTAAGTGAGTCTCAGCAAATACTTGGTTGGTGGATTTTTATCCATTCTGTATCTTTTACGTACAACATTTAGGCCATTTACATTCAACATTAGTATTGAGATGTGAGGTACTGTTCTATTCATTGTGCTAGTTGTTGCCTGATTACCTTGTTTTTTTATTGTGTTATTATTTTATAGGCCTTGTGAGATTTATGCTTTAAAGAGGTTGTATTTTAGTGTATTTTGAGGTTCTGTTTCAAGATTTAGAACTGCTTTTAGCAACTCTTGTAGTGCTGGCTTGGTAGTGGTGAATGCTCTTAGCATTTGTTTGTCTGAAAAAGACTTTATCTCTCATTCATTTATAAAGCCTAGTTTTGCTGGATACACAATTCTTGGTTGATAATTATTTTATTTAAGGAGGCTAAAGATAGGACCCCAATCTCTTCTAGCTTGTGGGGTTTCTGCTGAGAAATCTGCTGCTAATCTGATAGGGTTTTCTTTTTGGTTACCTGATGCTTTTCCTCACAGCTCTTAAGATTCTTTCCTTAATCTTGACTTTAGCTAACCTAATGACTATGTGCCTAGGTGATGAATTTTTTTTTTTTTTTTTTTAGATGGAGTTTCACTCTTGTTACACAGGCTGGAGTTCAATGGTGCGATTTCAGCTCACGGCAACCTCTGCCTCCCAGGTTCAAGCGATTCTCCTGCCTCAGCCTCCCGAGTAGCTGGGATTACAGGCACGCACCACCACACCCGACTAATTTTGTATTTTTAACAGAGACGGGCTTTCTCCATGTTGGTCAGGCTGGTCTTGAACTCCTGACCTCAGGTAATCTGCCCACCTCGGCCTCCCAAAGTGTTGGGATTGAAGGCGTGAGCCACTGCACCCGGCCTGATCTTTTTGTAATAAATTTCCTGGGTGTTCTTTGAGCGTCTCGTGTTTGGATGTCTAGATCTCTAACAAGGCCAGGGAAGTTTTCCTTGATTATTCCCTCAAATAAGTTTTCCAGACATTTAGATTTCTCCTCTCCCTCAGGAAAACTAATTATTCTTATGTTTAGTCATTTAACATAATCCTCAATTTCTTGGCGGCTTTGTTCATTATTTAAAATTCTTTTTTCCTTGTCTTGGTCGGATTAGGTTAATTTGACAGCCTTGTCTTCAAGCTCTGAAGTTCTTTCTTCTACTTGTTCTAGTCTATTGTTGGAACTTTCCAGTTAATTTTGTATTTCTCTAAGTGTGTCTTTCATTTCCAGAAGCTGTGATTTTTTTTTTCTTTATGATCTCTATTTCTCTGGAGACTTTTTCAGCCATATGCTGTATTTTTCTTTTTTTTTTCTTTAAGTTGATTTTCACCTTTCTCTGGTACCTAATTGAATAGCTTAATAATCAACCTTCTGAATTCTTTATCTGGCAATTTAGAGATTTCTGGTTGGTTTGGATCCATTGCTGAAGACCTAATGTAATCTTTGGGAGGTGTTAAGGACCTTGTTTTGTAATATTACCAGAATTTACTTTTCTGGTTTCTTCTCATTTGGGTAGACTGTTTCAGTGGAAATATCTGAAACTCAATGGCTGCTTTTCAGAATATTTTATCCCATGGGGTGATCCCTTGATATGGTGCTATCCCCCATTGAAAAAATAATTCTAAAATTCTTATGAAACCAAAAAAGAGCCCTCATAGCCAAAGCAAGACTAAACAAAAAGAACAAATCTAGAGGCATCACATTACCTGAGTTCAAACTGTACTACCAGCCTATAGTTACTAAAGCAGCATGGCACTGGTATAATAGTAAGCAAGTAGATCAATGGAACAGAATAGAAAACCAAAAAATAAAGCCAAATACCTATAGCCAACGGATCTTCAACAAGACATACAAAAACAAAAAGTGGGGAAAGGACACCCTATGTAATAAATGGTGCTGGGATAATTGGCAAGCCACATGTAGAAAAATGAAACTGGATCCTTATCTCTCACCTTGTTAAAAAATCAACTCAAGATGGATCAAAGACTTAAATCTAAGACCCCAAACCACAAAAATTCTAGAAGATAACACCAAAAAAGCTCTTCTGGACATTGTCTTAGGCAAAGAATTAATGACCAATAGCACAAAGGTACCTGCAACAACAACAAAAGAGATAAATAGCTGGGACTTAATTAAACTAAAAAGGGTCTGCACAGCAAGAGAAATAATCAGCAAACAGACAACCAACAGAGTGGGATAAAATTTTCACAATCTGTGCATCCAACAAAGGACTAATATCCAGAATCTACAAGGAACTCAAACAAATCATCAAGAAAAAATTCAAATAATTCCATCACAACTGAGCTAAGGACGTGAATAGACAGTTCTCAAAAGAAGATATACAAATGGCCAATGAATATATTAAAAAATGCCCCAAATCACTAATTATCAGAGAAATACAAATCAAAACCACAATGTGATACCACCTTACTCCTACAAGAAAGGCCATAACTAAAAAATCAAAAAATAATAAATGTTGGTGTGGATATGGTGAAAAGGGTACACTTTTACACTGCTGGTGGAAATGTAAACTAGTACAACCATTATGGAAAACAGTATGGAGACTCCTTAAAGAACTAAAAGTAGAGCTACGATTTGATCCAGCAATCCCGCTGCTGGGTATCTACCCAGAGGAAAAGAAGTCACTATATGAAAAAGATACCTGCACATGCATGTTTATACCAGCACAATCCACAATTGCAAAAATATGGAACCAGTCTAAGTAACCATCAACCAATAAGTGAATAAAGAAAATGGGGTATATATATATATATATATATGTGTATGTGTGTGTGTGTGTGTGTGTGTGTGTGTGTGTGTGTGTGTACATGGTATAAAGGTGTGTGTATATATGTGTGGTATATATGTGTGTGTGTATATACATATCTCATGGAATACTACTCAGCCATAAAAAGGAACAAAATAATGGCATTCTCAGCTACCTGGGTGGAGTTGGAGACCACTATTCTATATGAAGTAACTCAAGAATAGAAAACCAAACATCATATGTTCTCACTTGTAAGCCGGAGCTAAGCTGTGAGGACACAAAAGCATACGGATGATTGATATAATGAACTCTGGGGAATCAGAGAGATGGGGGGGGGGTTGATGAGGGACAAAAGACCACACATTGGGTACAGTGTACACTTGTTCAGTTGATGGGTGCACCAGAATCTCAGATATCACCCCTAAATAACTTATACATGTAACCAAACACCACTTGTTCCCCCAAAACTATTGAAATAATAATAATAAAATGGAAATAAAAATAAACATAATTAAAAATGACAAATGAGATATTACCACTGATGTCACAGATATACAAATAACCATCAGAAAATATTATGAACACATCTATGCACACAAACTAGAAAATTTAGAGGAAATGGATAAATTCCTGGACACATACATCCTCCCAAGACTGAACCAGGAAGAAATTGAATCCCCAAACAGACCAATAACGAGTTCTGAAATTGAGGCAGTAATAAATAGCTTAGCAACAACAAGAAAAAAGCCCAGGATCAGATGGATTCACACCCTAATTTTACCAGATGTACAAAGAAGAGCAGGTACCACTCCTATTGAAACTATTCCAAAAAATTGAGGAAGAGGGACTCATTCTATGAGGCTAGCATCATCCTGATACCAAAACTTGGCAGAGATACAACAAAACCAGAAAACTTCAGGCCTATATCCTTGAACATCAATGGAAAAATCCTCAACAAAATACTAGCAAGCCTAATTGAGCAGCACATCAAAGCCTACTTGTCCATCACGATCAAGTACGCTTTATCCCTGGGATGCAAGATTGGTTCAACATACACAAATCAATAAGTGTGATTAATCACTTAAATAGAACTAAGAACAAAAAAAAAAACACATGATTGTCTCAATAGATGCAGAAAGGCTTTTGATAAAATTCAACACCCTTTCATATTAAAAACTCTCAATAAACTAGCTATTGAAAGAATATACCTCAAAATAATAAGAGCCATATGTAACAAACCCATAGTTGACCTGATACTGAATGGGCAAAAGCTGGAAGTGTTCCCCTTGAAAAATCAGACAAGGATGCCCTCTCTCACCACTCCTATTCAACGTAGTATCAGAAGTCCTGGCCAGAGCAATAAGGCAAGAGAAGAAATAAAGGAGATTCAAATAGTAAGAGAGGAAGTCAAACTATCCCTGTTTGCACACGACATGATCCTATATCTATAAAGTTCCATAGTCTCAGCCAAAAAGCTCATTAAGCTGATAAACAACTTCAGCAAAGTCTAGGATACAAAATCAATGTACAAAAGTCGTTAGCATTCCTATACACCAAAAACGGTCAAGCTGAGAGCCAAATCAGGAATGAACTCCCATTTACAATTGCCACAAAAAGAATACGTAGGAATACAGCTAAGGAGGGAGGTGAAAGATTTCTACAATGAGAACTACAAAACACTGTTCAAAGAAATCAGAGATGACACAAAGAAGTGGAAAAACATTCCATGCTCATGGATATGAAAAATAAATATTGTTAAAATGGCCATACTTCCCAAAACAATTTATAGGTTCAATGCTATTTCTATCAACCTAGCAATTACTTTCCTCACAGAACTAGAAAAAAATATTTTAAAATTCAAATGGAACAAAAAATGAGCCCGAATAGCCACAACAATCCTAAGCAGAAAGAACAAAGCTGGAGCTATCACATTACCCAACTTCAAACTATATTACAGGGCTACAGTAACCGAAACAGCATACTACTTGTACAAAAACAGACTTATAGACCAATAGAACAGAATAGAGAGCCCATAAATAAGGCCATACACCTATAACCATCCGATCTTTGACAAAGATGACAAAAACAAGCAATGGGAAAAAGACTCCCTATTCAATAAATGGTGCTGGGTTAAGTGGCTAGCCACATGCAGAAGACTAACTGGATCCCACTCTTACACCATACACAAAAATAAACTCAAGATGGAGTAAAGACTTAAATGTAAAACCCAAAAGTATAAAAACCCTGGAAGACAGCCTAGGCAATACCATTTTGGACATAGGAATGGGCAAATATTTCATGACAAAGATGCCAGAACCAACTGCAACAAAAGCAAAAATTGACAAATAGGATGTAATTAAACTAAAGAGTTTCTGCACAGCAAAAGAAACTATCAACAAAGTAAGCAGATGACCTATAGAATGGGTAAAAATATTTGTAAGCTGCATCTGACAAAGGTCTAATATCCAGCATCTATAAGGAACTTTAACAAATTTACAAGAAAAAAAAACAAGCAATCCCATTAAAAAGTGGGCAAAAGACAAGAAAAGACACTTTTCAAAAGAAAACATACATGCAGCCAACAAAAACATGCAAAAAAGCTCAACATCATTGATCATTAGAGAAATGCAAATTAAAACCACAATGAGATACTATCTCACACCACTCAGAATGTCTATTATTAAAAAGTCAAAAAGTAACAGATGCTGGTGAGGTTGTGGAGAAAAAGGAATGCTTATACACTGTTGGTTGGAGGTAAATTAATTCAACAATTGTGGAAAGTAGTGTTGTGATTCCTCAAATAGCTGAAAACAGAACTACCATTAGATTCAGCAATCCCATTACTTGGTGTATACTTAAAGGAATATAAATTGTTCTATCATAAAGACATATGCACATGTATGTTCATTGTAGCACTATTCACAATGGCAAAGACATGAAATCAACCTAAATGCCCATCAATGGTAGACTGCATGAAGAAAATGTGATACATGTAAAGCATGGAATACTATGCAGCTATAAAAAAGAACAAGATTATCATCCAGGAATATGGATAGAGCTGGAGGTCATTATCCTTAGCAAACTAATGAAGAACAACAACAACAAAAAAACAAATACCACATGTTCTCACTTATGAGTGGGAGCTAAATGATGAGAACATATGGACATGTAGAGGGGAACAATAGATACTGGGGCCTACTTAAGAGTGGAGGTTGGGACAAGGGAGAGGATCAGAAAAAATAACTAACGGGTACTAGGCTTAATACCTGGGTGACAAAATAATCTGTACAACAAACCCCCATGAGACGAGTTTTCCTCTATAACAAACCTGCACATGTACCTGTGAACTTAAAATAAAAGTTTAAACTATAAGAAAAGTAACAAAAATATTTAGTTGTCCAGAAACACTAAAGGAATCTCAGTAATTGAACAGGAATATTTTTTCTGCGACATTTTATTTTGCCTTTCTCAGATCAACAGTGATATATGGAAAATATTAGTTTACTTGGTTTAAACTAATATTTAAATCTAAGATGATTCAAAGCAATCTATGTACCGATGAAAAGCAAACAGTATGTCTTACAATCTTAGGCTAATGTCCACAGCAGGAAAGAACAATTAGTAAAATCATGAATTATCCCTCTGTTTTTACTTTCACTTAAAAGTCTGTCTTTTGGTTTGTATACAGCCATGTTTCATGGCTTGAGAAAATCAGGAATTTCCATATAAATGTGTTAACTGAGTTTGGATTCCAGTGTAAAATGCAAAACCTGTGTAAGTCAAACATTGATTTGGATAAATGAAATGCAAATGCGCTTAAAACAATAGTAGTCTTTAATGAAGAAACAATATATGAGACAAAAAGAAAGAAGTTAGCTCTTTTGTTAGAGGTCTAGACAAAGGATCATTTGTGAATTTGATATTTTTCTTCCAGTTATTAACATTATCTGGTATAAGCATGGGACATACAACAGAAATTATATAAATGCTTGAACACATGAATTAATGCATGAATGAACAAATACTCTCATGAGTTTTATTTTACTGTGCGAATAAATTTTCATAAAATATCATGTGTGTCATATCTGGATGATCTGATCACTAAAAAGGTTACCTGTAGAGTCAAGAAAATCTTGCATAACTGGTAATTTAAAAGTAAGAAATACTAATAGAATAATATGGTCATAAGCCATAAATGTCAGCCACTGATTACAAGAGAGCACATATGAGAACCGGCATAAATCAGGGTAAACTTATTCTCATTCCTGTATTGTGATCACAAGGCAAAAGTCTGCTTTAGGCGCCCTAGTGATCTAGTTAGAACTAAATATTTCTTTTATTGTTGGTTGTTTACTTTTTGAGTCTCATAAGATTGAATCCATGGGAATATTAAAACTTAACTGTGAATATTTATTTTTGTAATAGCATCAACACTCTAAGAACTGTACTTTCTTGTATCGTTATTTCAATTATGTTATTGAAGTACGGTTAATGAATACATAATTGCAATCTGCAATATCATTCTAATGTTTTCATGTTTAGAAAATCTCTCCTTTTCTGTTTCTGTTCAAATTATGATAAGAAAATCTAGCTTTCTTTTCCTATTCACATAAGTGTAAATACCCTCAACCTGAAATGAGAAGATATAAAGTCTCTCTCACATTCAGGAACTTTGTCCTTGCTAAATACTCCTGAATCGAGTAGGTCATTAGAAAAGACATTACTCTTTTTCTAGTTTCTAAAAAATGGGGACAAAACTTACCCACCTTGTGGGAACTATATATAGCAACAAATCATTCACTATATGAGGCTATAGCTAGCATTCTTTAGTTTACAAAATGAAGAGTAAAGCCCTTGTAAGTATTTCTGCATACTCTGCTCAAAAGAGTATTGTATTAAGTGAACAAATCCTCTCTCATGTGTTTATGAGCATTAATGTCTAGATTGCAGGAATGATTTAAAGAGAATGCCAAGTTAAAGAAATTGTTCTACTAATGACAACGTCTAGTAGTGCCATGGCAGACTGACAGGAGATATAATTCAATACATAATTTGTTTGCCCCTGAAATCATATCACTCACACTGCTTTTGAAGTGATCACTGTGGCCACAATTTCCTGAATTCTTCACTAAGACATTAAAAAGCAAGAAAGGAAAATTATCAACCAATTATCTTATATCTTCTTTCCTTCAATTATCTTATATCTTCTTTCCTTCTCCTTCAAACCCTCTGGAACTTTTACTGGGAGAAAAAGGCAGTATTCATGTGGATATTTACCTAAAGAGGATATACGCATGTATGTGGGGAATGTCTGTAAAGTGTTTAACCATAACATTCATTTACATAGACATTTATTTAAAAATGTTTATTGAGTATCTACTACATGTTAGACACTCTATTTGATACTGGAGATGTAATGTCAAATAACACAAACAGTTTTGCCTATCATAGTGCTTCTAGTCTAGTAAAAAAGATGATTATACATGAAATATTCATACAAATAAATGTGAAATTGTTACTGTGAGAAGTGTTTAGAAGGAAGACAATGTGGTGCTTAGAGAGTTCAAATAGTATGAATACTAGACCAGAGGCAAAGGAAAGTGCTTTCCTTTATTCTATACTTCAAATGTCCTACCATTCTTTCATCTTTCCTTCTGTTCTCTATGCTTCTTTGACAGACTGTCTTAACTTAGGGCTCATATAGGCACGTCTTATGCAATAATAAATACATAAATACATGGATCAACAATTTAAAAAATAATTAAAATACAACTTTTAACCACTACCTTGTGTTAAACTACTGTTAATATATTGCCTAGATTGTATGACATCATAGATAACATGAATCCTAAAAGTCCTACTTACAAAGAAAACAAAAACAAACAAATAGAAACCTGGTTACAGGGTTATTAGCTGGTTTGGGAGCCATAAGATTAGATTAGTTTTGTACCTCTATAAGATGGGCATCTATATTAAAAAGAAAAGCCAAGAGAAAGAATGTTATATTTTGACTAAAGTCCTAAAATTTCTTAATTTTTATTCTGATTTTTCTTGCCATGTTAGTTAATATTATGATGCCCTCAAATTTTCTAGAATTATTTTTAAAATATGTTTTTATAAACAAATATCCACGCCATGAGAAAAAGCCACTAGATGAAATTCTCCATTTTTAAAAGTAGATGGTGATGGCAGTGATTAACTTTTATATCATTGTTCATGTTTTGCAAGTCTTTGAGCAGGAGCCTCTTCTGTGAAAACTCAAAATAATAAAACCTGTAGTTAAGGACCCAGGGCCAAATTATTTACTGGACTGTACAAGTAGTATCAGATTATGCTTATTTTCATAAAATTTTAAGTGATTTGCATTATACTAAAGGCATTTTAAAACAAGACTCCATCAAGTAAAAAATAGGAAAATATGAAACTGTAGATATTGAAGGATCAGTACTATCCTTTTTTCTAATGTATACATAAATTATAGATATACATTTACCAAAATATGGACTGCATTTTTCTTTATGGGTGAGACTACAGGTCTTTTTTTCCCCATTATTGAAATTTTTCCATGGTTTTCTTTTTTTTATGATATTAAATGTTTTATTTTCTAATATACATTTTTAAGTTGTTGATTAATATTGACAGATTTTCAAAGCCATTATAGTTTTGAAGTTTTTCCCCTTCTACCCATATACAACTTTCCAAATTAGGAGATATAACTTTTAGAGGAAAGCATTTCAAACACTTAAACACACACGTTAAAAAAAAATTGTAAGGTTTTAAGTGTAAACATGCATTTGATCTATATGTCCTATGTTTTCACAATCTTTTAAATTGCCTCCAGAAGTCTTTTTTTTTAATTATTATTATACTTTAAGTTCTAGGGTACATGTGTGCAACGTGCAGGTTTGTTACATATGTATACATGTGCCATGTTGGTTTGCTCCACCCATTAACTCGTCATTTACATTAGGTATATCTCCTAATGCTATCCCTCCCCCCTCCCCCATCCCCACGACAGGCCCTGGTGTGTGATGTTCCCCACCCTGTGTCCAAGTGTTCTCGTTGTTCAATTCCCACCTATGAGTGAGAACATGCGGTGTTTGGTTTTTCTGTCCTTGTGATAGTTTGCTCAGAATGATGGTTTCCAGCTTCATCAATGTCCCTACAAAGGACATGAACTCATCCTTTTTTATGGCTGCATAGTATTCCATGGTGTATATGTGCCACATTTTCTTAATCCATTCTATCATTGATAGGCATTTGGGTTGGTTCCAAGTCTTTGCTACTGTGAATAGTGCCGCAATAAACATACGTGTGCATGTTTCTTTATAGCAGCAATAAAAAGACCAAATACCTAAGCATATACTTAATAATAAAAGTATAAGACCTGTATGGATAAAACTTTTTTTTTTTTTTGAGATGGAGTCTCACTCTTGTTGCCCAGGCTGGAGTGCAATGGCATAATCTCGGCTCACTGCAACCTCCGCCTCCTGGGTTCAAGTGATTCTCCTGTTTCAGCCTCCCGAGTATTTGGGATTACAGGTGACCACCACCACACCTGGCTAATTTTTGTATTTTTAGTAGAGATGGAGTTTCACCATATTGATCAGGCTGGTCTCAAACTCCTGACCTCAGGTGATCTGCCCACCTCAGCCTCCCAAAGTGGTGGGATTACATGTGTAAGCCACTGCATCTAGCGGATAAAACTTTTAAACACCAGAAATCTAAGAGAATAACTTAACAGATGGGGAAAGACATACCATTTTCATGGACAATCAAAATCAAAATCAAATAGTGTAAATTTTCTCTCAACTAATAACATTCCCATGATTGCAATAAAAATATAATAGATTTGTAATATTTGTTTTAGCTAGATGAACTGATTGTAAATTTCATATGAAAATAAATAGAGAATGAAACTGAAAAAGACAATGAGAAGATACTAGTCTTATCAGATATTAAAATATAAGACTTTAATAACAAAACCTATATGGTACGGAGGCATTAATAAACAATCCAACAAAGCAAAAATGAATCTAGGCATTGACTAGACATCAGAATTTAGTACACTGTAAGTGTGAAGGAGAGTTGGAATAATTATCTAGTGTTGTGACAACCAGGAAGCAATTTAGAAAAAATTAATATTGGATCTATGCCTTACAGAAATGATTTTCAGTGTGGTTCAGACCAGTGCATCAGCATCAACCATGGAACTTGTTAGTAGTGAAATTTGTTGGGCCCCTCTCCAGACTTAGTGAATTAGAACCTCTAGGGCACACCCCAGCAATCTGTTTTAAAAAGTTCTCTAGGTGATTTGAATGCATGCTCAAGTTTTAGACTGCCTGCCTTACTCTATACACCAGAGTAATTCAAAATAAATCAAATATTTACCTATAAAGAATTGAAACCATATAACTACTAGAAGAAAATAGGAGAGAAATCTTTTATAACATTGGAGTAGGAAAGTTCTTTCCAACTATGACTCAAAATACAGCAACCATAAAAATTACTAATAAAATTTTACCACATTGGAAACAAAACAAAACACTTCTAAATTGACAAATCACCCTGAGAAAAGACATGAGGAAACTGTAATAAAACATTTGCAAATCATATTTTATTAACCAGAATCCCAGGAAGAAACAGATGGCACAGGAAATCAGATTAATTAAAGGACAGTTTAATAAAGGGACTATTTGGAAAGGTGTGGACAGATTAAATAAAGGAACCACAATAATGTAATACCCCAGAGCTGGAAATATTAAGGCTTTTGACGCCCCTTGGCTTAAAAAAAATGAGGAGAGGGAATGGTTACTGGAACCTGGGAGGAAAGAATTTTATGGAGAAGACCACTTTAGTCAAGGGGGGCAGTCATTGCAAGGCAACCTGGTAAAGAAGGAGCTGGAGGAATAAATACTTCAATCTTACTCTCCTCCCTCCCTCTTATCTCCTGATATTACTTCCTATTGACCAAACTCAATCAGAAGCCAGAGGCCAAGGAAGCCCATTGATAATTATATGGGTCAGCATTCTGAGGGCAGAGAGCAAAGATGGAGATTACATCTAAAGCACCAAACAAAAGATATCCAGGATAAATATTACAAAGGGCTAATTTTCCTTAATATATAAAGATATCTTCAAAATCTTGAAGTAAAGGATCAACAACTTATTTTTTAAAATGGGCAAATTAGATGAACAGTTACTGAAAAGGAAACTCAAATGGATCTTATACATATAAAAAGACTTCACTCATAATAAGAGAAATGTGACTATAATCACACTGAGGTACCATTTTTGTCTACCATTTTGGTAAAGATATGAAAGCGTGATAATATATTCTATTGGCAAGACTGCGAGGAAAATGGCTGGTGAAAAAGCAGTATGGCAATTACAAATGCATATATCATTTGACTCAGCTATATCACTTCTGGTAGTCTATCCTATAGAATATATTTCCACAGGTACAAACTGATGAATTCACACAACTTTTATTGCAGTATAAATTGCAGTAGAAAAGAACTGGAAACCAGACAAATGCCTACTAAGAGAGCCTGGTTAAATAAATCTATCGTACATCTATACAATGGAATGCTATGGAACTTTACAAAAGAAGAATAGTTATCTCTGTACTGATCTGAATAGCTCTCCAAGATATGCTAAGTGAACAAAACAATGCACAAGAGTGTGTATAATATGTTTGCTTTTCTGTATGAAAAGAGAGGAAATTAGAATATATGTACATATTTGTTTACATTTATATAAATAAATTCTACACAAGCAACCGTAAAATTGATTGCTGTTTAGGGGGTCAGAGGTTGGGAACTGAGTGGTTGGAGAAGATAAGTCGGAAAAAATTTTTCTCTATTTAAATTAGTACTCATTCAGAAATTTTTCAGTGTTTTGCTTTTAATAATGGAATAAATAAAAGTATGTTTTAAAAGCAATCTGGCAGACACCACCTTAACTATGTAAACCAAGGTTAACATTACTAGTAATAAGATATATCAACATCATGTAATCCCTAATAAGATGCACTATGAAGGGCAGGTCACTTCTGTGGTTTTCTTGCCAAAAATGAGTGGCCTCAATGTAATCATGAGAAAGCATCAAACTCATTGAAGGGACATTCTACAAAATAACTGACTAGCATTATTCAAGTGTGTCAAGGTCATATAAAACAAAGACTGGGTGTCTCTAAACAGAGTTGAAGAGACTAAGGAGAGAGAAGTACAATGTGGGATTCTGAATTAGATCCTAGACCAGGAAAATTATATTAGTGGGAAAACTGTTGAAATTCACATAAGATCTAGAGTTTAGTTAATATTGTTCCTTTGCTATTTTCCTGATTTTGATAATGTACTATGGTTACATAAGGTATGAGAACTAGGAGAAGCTGAGTCAAAGTAATATGAGAACTCACTGTACTATTTTTGCAACTTTTTTGTAGGTCAATTTATATCAAACTTAAAAAGTTATTTTAAAATAAACATTTGTTGCGAACCTCTCAGGTCCCCAGTCCTTTGCTGGGATGTGTGGGAATACAGACAAACATCATTATTCTTGATATTCGGGATATGACAAAAATCCATGAAACAATGGACAAGTCTAGGTCAAGTTCTTCTGTCATACACTCTTGTAGGAAGATGTTTCTCTCTTTTGTAACACATCTCACTGTGCAACTATATACCCAATTTGGGTGGTTATTTTTTAAATGTTTGCTTTCCTTCTAGACTCTAAGTGTAATAGGAGCAGGAAAAATATTCTGTACATATTGTACATGATTTATGTCATAAAGTATAGATAGGACATTTATGTGGAAGAGCAATTATACTAATTTTGCACAGTTCCAAAAGGCAGAACCAAAACTAATGGTGGAGATTACAGGGTGGGGGAAATTTCAGCTCAATGTAATGCATTTAGTTTCTAACAATTGGGTCAATAAATAATTAAATGGATTGTTCCAGTGAGGTGGTTCACACCTAAAAAAAATCCTTCAAAATTGGAAGCATTCCAGAAGACTAAGATGAGATAGAAGAAGCATCTTCAGATGGGAAAGCAGACTAGAGGTCAGCTAAGATTATATGATATTCCAGTGTAAGATTCTGTATCCTTTTCAGCATATCATATTTTAGATTTCCTTAAGCTTCCTTCATATTTGAAGAATCAAAGGAGGTTTTTTGGCCATCCTTTAACTCTGTGATCTCAGTATGTCATATGTCAAGGTTACCCTTTGAAGCCCATTTTCTAATAAATAACATTTAGCTCACAGAAGATTATCTGTTTCAGTTCTGCCTCTCATTCAGCCTTGGCAGATCCCTATGTAGATTATCCTCATCAATTTGACAGTTCATTCCCAAGAATGCCAACAGCAAATATTAGTCTAGAAGAAATTCTGGAGACCATCTATTTAATGACAGATGCTCTCTCTAGCTCCATGCTGACATAAATTTTAAAGGTCCTTTGGTATGGAAACCTGTCAAAGATTTTGTTTTTGTTTTTGTTTTTGTTTTAGAAACAGTCTCCCTATGTTTCCCAGGCAGGTCTTGAACTCTTGGGCCCAACTGATCCTCCTGCCTTAGCCTTCCAAGTAGCTGGAATTCTAGTAGTGCAACACAAGTGCCTGGCTTTTGTCAAAAGTTTTTGAAGGTCTAAATGAGTTATAACCACTTCAGCCCACACAAAATGCTCAAAAAAAAAAAAACAAAAACAAACAAACAAACAAACAAAAAAAAACAAAAAAACAAACCTCTAGCTGATTTAGTCAGTCGTAATTTTTCTTTACAGAAATCATGATTATTTTTACCTTTTAGGTTATGTTTTCTTAAGCATTTGATGATCTTTGTTAATCTACCACCTCACTCACCATGAAAGAACAAGAATTATTGGTCTATAGTTCTCATTATTCTATCTTTATGGAATGTAGTTAACATGGTGATCATTTGTAACAAAATGCAACACTTCTTGGTCATTTGTCCCACATTTCAACTTTTACTTCCAGACTCTTCAGGAGATGCTCTCTGGCCATTATGATTCTCCTATACTTAGTAAATTGATTAACTCTTGACCAATGATTTCAAATGGAACTTTCCGTGATGATGTAAATGTTCTATAAATCTGTGCTGTACAGGATGTTACCCACTAGGCACATGTGGCTATTGTGGACTTGAAATGTGGCAAGTATAACTAAGGAACAGATTTTTAGAATTTTCATTTTATTTTGTTAAATTCAAATTTGTATGTAAATAGCCACATGTGGCTAGTGGCTACTATATTGGACAGAACAGATATAGACCATTCTACACATTTAAAATAATTTACACAATACCTCTGACATTTGATTTACTAAACCTTTTGAGACAAGTGCTATTCTTAATATTTTTCTCAGTAAAAACCAATGAAAATAATTCATGTAGTCTGTTATCTAATTTAAAAAAAATATCAGAATAGTTTTTGTTTCTGTTTCCTCATTTTCCACTTTGGGTTAGAGTGTACTAAGCTCCGAGTTTGGAAGCATGTGATCAGCATCTGAGAAATCGTTCAGTGATCTTGATCTTTTCACTTACTTGATTTATTTAATCAGAACCTATTGAATCACAGTAATCGAGTAGTTCTAATGTTTTCTTTTTCTTTTCCCAATCAACTGTCCATTCAATATTCATTAGCCTTTACTGTGAGCTAGGTACTCTGGGATGCAATAGGAATAAGGTAATGGAGTAGAGAAGAACTAACATATATTGAGCATCTACCATATGCCATATTTTCCTATATATAGGATATCTATAAAATAGGACTTCTGTTTTAATTTTCAACACTGCCCTGCATAGTCTTACTACCTCTATTTTTACAAACAAGGAAATCAAGGGCAAGAAACGTTAAGAGACTGCACAGGGCCATGGGACTAAGCAACAGAACCAGGATTCAAAACCAGGTCTTTGAACTAGAAGTTCAATCTTCTTTCTACTAAACCACAGCTGACTCCTGAATAATTAAAAAAAAAACACACACACACAATAATACCTAGCATAGTTTGAGTATTCATGTGCCAGGATGTATGCTGGGTACTTTATATACATTACCATTTAATCCTCACAATATCCTCAAAACTCATTTAATCCTCACAACATCCTCAAAACTCATAGGAATGAGTTTTACAGATAAGAAACTATAAAACACAGGTTAAATAACTTTAAGTTAGCAGGGTCAAATGCTTTAGCGAGGTCAAAAAGGATTTAAATAGTCAGCTTTTCTACCACGTTCAAAGCACTCTATTAGGTTGGGACAGAGTAGGCAGATCACTGTCTTCAAAAGTCTTTTCCTCTTCCATTCTCTTCAGTATTCCTTCCCTCCCCTGTTCACTGTCTATATGAAGTCAGGCAGTGGAGGAATGTTCTGAGAATGCACCATTAGGCACTTCTGTTATTATGAGAACATCATAGAGTGTACTTACACAAACCTAGATGATATAGCCTACTACATACCTAGGTTATATGGTATAGCCTATTGTTCCTAGGCTACACACATGTACAGTATGTAACTGTACCGAACACTGTAGGCAACCAACACAATGGTATGTGTGTATCTAAACATATTGTTTATATTGTGTTATAATCTTATGGAACAAGCATCATATATGCCATCTGTCATTGACAGAAATGTCCTTATGTGGCAAATTACTATAATTTATCAAAGTATATTCAATCTGAAAATCAAGTTAATGATACATAATTTTCATTTATTGCAAATTTGATTCCTGTTACAAATTGTATTCCAATTATATTGGAGTAGGCAGATCCAGGGTGGAATGTGCTTAAAATTAAGACTGGACTCAAAGTTAACAGCAGAGCAGCTGCTTCTAGTTTATAAGCTCCTGATTCAATTTTCTCCATCTTGTTTCATGACTTAGCTATTCTACCTTGTCTCACACATTTCAGATTTTGACTTTTTTATAACATTCAAAAATGTTATATATATTTTCAAGATGCATATAGTTAATTTCCTTATTCTCCTTATTTTAATTTCTCTTCTTTGCTTCAGGAGACATTAAGTACAATCTAAGTGGAAAGATGAGAACTGCTGCTGGCCAAGATTATAAAAATCGTTTAACAAGAGAAAAATGTGTCATTTGATAAAAAACCTCAACCTGAAAAACGTAAGTGAAAAACAGCTGAATGTAATGTGTGTGTGTGTGTGTGTGTATATACGTGTGTGACAGAGTATATACACATACTCATACACACAGACAGATATATATATATGTGTGTGTGTATATATATATATATACACATATATATATATATTCTTTTCCCTCCTGGAACCAAATATTGAGAAAAATTCATCTAAGTGAATGCCCATGGAAATACTGCTTTCCTCTCTTTCTTTTTGGTAGTCCATTTCTGATTCAATCTAAGGAGGAACCAGAGGATTATCTAAAGTCTAGAGCAATTCAAGATGCCTACTCCAAGAGACGTGAGGCAGTTCCCAGATTAACCTAGTATTTCAGTTTTATTTTGAGAGGAACTGGGGATTCAGTATGGATCAAAATCTCTGGGAGCATTCCAGACTACCTCAGAGCAGACTCAAATCCAACTTGCCTGTGGGGTGTAGATGGGTAGGAGTCAGATTTTTCTGAGTGTTAGTCACCAGTCCCTCTCCTTTAACTCTGAAAGCAAAACCTGAATGCAATCTGCAAAATCATACTCAAATTATTTCAAAGGTCCTTATCTCTCAGAAAGAGCATACATCTATGGGTTTGGCTAGTGCTCACAGTCAAATCACAGCTCTTTATATTTGTTTTCTCACCTCTAAAAAAGAAGGAAAAATTGGAATGTGAGCCATCTCTGTCTTGCAGGACTGTTTTAACTACTTAAAGGTAAAGTGCTTCAAATATCAAAATTGTAATACAAACTAGTAGATTATTATAGGGAAAGATGCAAATTCTTTTTAGCATGAAGCACTAAAACAATGTGTACATTTTTCTGGATTTTTTTGTACATTTGAAACATATACCTCTTAAAGCAAGTTTTCTTTAATTAAAAAAATTTTAACTGGACACATAATAATTACACATATTTATGGAGTACACAGTGATATTGTTATGCATATAATGTATATTAATCAGATCAGGGTAATTAGCATATCCATCATATCAAACATTTATCATTTCTTTGTATTGAAAATTTTTGATATCCTCTTTTATCTATTTGAAACTATATATTGTTGTTAACTATAGTCATCCTACAGTGGTACAGAACACTGGAAATTAATCCTTCTATCTAGCTGTAATTTTGTATCCTTTAACAAATATTTCCCTATCCTCTCCTTTCCCCTACCCTTCCCAATCCCTAATAACCATAATTCTTCTCTCTACTTTTATGAGGTCACCTTACTCTGCTCCCAAATATAAGTGAGAACATGCACTATCTATATTTCTATTCCTGGCTTATTTCATTAACATAATGTTCTCCAGTTACATCCATGTTGCCAGGAATGACAGGATTTCATTCTGTTTTATGGCTGAATAGTATTCCATTGTGTATACATACCACATTTTCTTTATCCATTCATCTGTTGTTTGACACCTTGGTTGTTTCTATATCGTAGCTACCGTGAATAGTGCTTCAGTAAACATGGTGGTGCAGATACCTCTTTGATATCCTTTGATTTCTTTTCCTTGCATGGTAGTAGAATTGCTAAATCATATGTTAGTTCTATTTTTAGTTTTTTGAGGAACTTCCATACTGTTTCTCCATAGTGGCTGCACTAATTTACATTTCCACCAACAGTGTGTAAGAATATCTTTTCTCCACCTCCTCACCAGCATTTGTTATTTTTTTTGTCTTATTGATAATATGCATCTTAACCAGGGTGAGAGGATACCTCATTGTGGTTTTGATATCAATTTCCCTGATGATTAGTGATGTTGAGCATTTTTTCATGTATTTGTTGGCCATTTGTATGTCTTCTTTTCAAAAATATCTGTTTAGACCAACTGACCATTTTTAAATTGGACTGCTTGTTTTTTGTTGAGATGCTTGAGTTCCTTGTGCATTTTGGATATTAATCTCTTGTTAGATGAATACTTTGCAAAAATTTCTCCTATTCTTCATGTTGTTTTTATTCTATTGATTGTTTCCTTTGCTGTGCAGAAGGTTTTCAGTTTGATCCCATTTGTTTATTTTTGCTTTTGTTGCATATGCTTTTGAGGTCGTAATCATAAAGTCTTTTCCCAGATCAATGTCTTGAAGGATTTCCCTTATTTTTTTAACTAGTATTTTTATAGTTTCGGGTTCTATATTTAGGTCTCTCTTCCATTTTGAGTTGATTTTTGTATAGGTTGAGAGGTGAGGATCTACTTTCATTCTTGTGTATATGAATATCCAGTTTCCCCAACACCTTCATTGAAGAGACTGTCCTTTCCCCAATGTTCTCGGTGCCTTTGTCAAAAATCAGTTGGTTGTAGATATATGGATTAATTTCTGGGCTCTCTTTTCTATACCATTGGCCTATGTATCTGTGTTTATACTTGTACTATGCTCTTCTGGTTACTAAGGCTTTGTAGTATATTTTGAATTTGGTAGTATGATACCTGAAAGCTCTGTTCTTTTTGCTCAGAACTGCTTTGGCTACTTGGGGTCTTTTGTGCCACCATACAAATTATAAGATATAAAAAAATTATGTGAAGAATGTCATGAGTATTTTGTTTTTTGTTTAGTTTTCCTTTTTTAAAAGAAGTTTTGTGGCACACAGTAGGAGTGTATATTTATGGAGTACAATAGATATTTTGATACAGGCACACAATGCATAATAATCACAACAGAATAAATCAGGTTATCCATCACCTCAATTATTGATCCTTTCTCTGTGATAAACAATCCAATTATATCTTTTTGTTATTTAAAAATATCTGATAAGTTATTGTTGACTGTAGCCATCCTGCTATGCTATCAAATACTAGATCTTATTCATTCTATCTAAGTATATTTTTAAATTCATTGGTCATCTCCTCTTTCCCCACCCCACTACCTTTCCCAGGCTCCAGTAACCGTCATTCTGCTCTCTATCATCATGAGTTCAGCTATTTTAATTTTTAGCTTTCACAAATAAGTGAGAACATGTGAAGTTTGTCTTTCTGTTCCTGGCTTATTTCACTTAATGCCCTTCAGTTCCATCTATATTGTTGCAGATGACAGTATCTCATTCTTTTTATGGCTGAATAGTTTTCCATTGAGTATAGGTGCCACATTTAATTTCTCCATTCATCTGCTGATGGACACTTAGGTTGCATCCAAACCTATAAGGTTTCCACCGAAAAGTTTGCTACTTTTAGGATCTTTTATTTTTACTTGACCTTTAGGGGCTTGATCACTATGTTTCTTGGGATAGCCTTATTTTGAGTTAAATCTTGGTATGCTATGGTCTTCTTGTACTTGAATATTGATATCTTTCTCTAGGTTTGGGAAGTTCTTTGTTATTATCCTTTTGAATAAACTTTCTACCCCTATCTCTCTCTCTACCTCCTCTTTAAGGCTAGTAACTCTTAGATTTGTCCTTTTGAGACTATTTTCTAGATGTGTAGGTGTGCTTCATTCTTTTCTATTCATTTTTTATCTCCTCTGACTACATATTTTCAAATAGTCTGTATTCAAGCTCAATTCTTTTTTTGCTGAATCAATTCTGAAGTTAAGAGACTCTGATGCATTCTTCAGTGTGTCAATTGCATTTTTCAGATCCAGAATGTCTGCTTGATTCTTTTAAATTATTTCGATCACTTTGTTCATCTTATCTGATAGGAATATGAATTCCATCTCTGTGTTATTTTGAATTTCTTTGTGTTTCCTCAACATGGATATTTTGAATTCTCTGTCTGAAAGGTGACGTATTTCTAACTTCCCATAATTGGTCACTGGTGCCTTATGTAGTTCATCTGGTGAAGTCTTGTTTACCTGAATGGTCTCTGCATGTGTATGTTTGTTGGTGTCTGGGTATTGAAAAGTTAGGTATTTATTGCAATATTCACAGTCTGGGCTTGTTTGTACCCATCCTTTTTGGCAAGATTTTCCAGGTATTTGAAGGGACTTAGATGTTTTGATCTAAGCCTTTGGTCACTGCACCTATATCTGCATTAGGGGTCAGCCCAAGCCCATAACATTGTGGATCTTGCAGCCCCATAGTGGTACCACCTTGTTGGTCTTGGGTAAAATCCAGGAGATTTCCCTGGATTACCAGGCAGACACTCTTTTCTCTCTCCTCTTACATTTCCCTCAGTCTCTCTCTGTGTGTGGAACTGCCTGGAGCTAGGGGACGGGTGACACAAGCACCCCTGTGGCCACCATCACTGGTAATCTGCAGGGTCAGACCTGAAGCCAGCACTGTATTTCACTCAAGGCTCATGGTGACCACCACCTGGCAAGTGCGTATTTTCACTCAGGTACCTACGGCTCTACAATTAGCAGGTGGCGAAGCCAGCCAGCTTGTGTCCTTACCTTCAGGAGAGTGAGTTCTCCCTGGCCCCTGTGGGTCCAGAGATGCCATCCAATAGCCAGGGCCTGAGGTAGGGAATCTTAGGAATCTACCTGGTGATCTATTCTACTGTAGCTGATCTGCCACCCAAGCCACAAGACAAAGTCCTTCCTACATTCCCTCACTTTTCCTCAAGCAGAGCAGTCTCTCCCTATGGCTATCACTACCCCAGGCCTGTGGCAAGCACTGCCTGGCTACCACTGATGTTCCCTCAAGTCTTAAGGGCTCTTCAGTCAGCTTTTAGTAAACGCTGTCAAGCCTGAGTCTTTCCCTTTATGGTAATGGGCTCCCTTCTGGTCCAGGGCAGGACCAGAAATTCTATCCAGGAGCCAAGGTCTTGAATCATGGATGCCAGGAGCCCACTTGGTGCTCTACCCCCCTGTGGCCAAAGTGGTACCTAAGTTGCAAGACAAAGTCCCCTTTACTCTTCCCTCTCCTCTCCTCAAGCAGGAATCTCTTCTCATGACCATCACAGCTGGGCATGTGCTGGGTCACACCTGAAGCTAGCCTAGTTCTGGGTCTCACCCAAGGCCCACGGCGAGTACCACCTGGTTACCACTGCTGGTTAAAAGGATTCTTTAGTTAGCAGGTGATAAATTCTGCCAGGACTGGGTCCTTTCCTTCAAGGCAGCAGTTTCACTTCTGGCCCTGGGCATGCCTGGAAATGTCATCCCAGAGCTGGGGCTTGAAATGGGGGCCCCTCAGGACTCTGCCTGGTGCCCTTAATCTACTGAGGCTGAGCTGGTATCCAAGTTGCAAGACAAAGTCCTCTTTACTCTACCCTGTCCTCTCCACTCTACCCTGTCCTCTCCTCAAGCAGAAGGAAGGAGTCTCTCTCAGACCTGTGCACTGAGCTGCCTGGTGTTGGGGAAGGGGTGATGCAAACACTCCCTTGGCTGCCCCAGCTGTTGTCTCACTAGGACATGTGCACCCCAAGTCTAAAGGCTCCAAGCCCAGCCTAGCACCAGGATTTGACCAGCAATTTCAGTCCTTTTGGCCTAGACTGCCTTTCAAGTTTATTTAGGCCCCCAGAGCACTTTGGCACATGGTGGTATGGCTTGCTGGAACTCAGGCTTTTACGTGACTGGGATGGACAATTCACCTCTGTCTAGGGCTGGTCTAAATGCTCCCTCTGTGGACACAGTGGTGCTTTCTGCTGTGACAGTGCAATACTAAATTTCAATAGGAAGTCCCACAGTCACTGTGGTCTCTTTCCCCTAAGTACACAGATTTTCTTTCTTCAGCATATGGTAGCTGCTGCAGGAATCCTGGATGGGTGGTGTAGGTTATTCAAGACTGTCCTTCTTACCCTCTTTAGTGCCTCTTTCCTTAATATGATGTTAAAACCAGGTAGTGTGATTGTTCACCTGATTTCTGGGTGTTATGAAGGTGCTTTTTGTGTTTGTGGATAGTTGTTCAATTTGGTGTTCTGGTGTGTATCTATTCAGCCATCTTGCTCCACCTTTTTCTGTCACATGTAGTTTGATATAGATTGCTTTGATTATATAGATTTTCTTGGGTAATATGGTCATTTTAACAATAGTAAGTTTTCTCATCCATGGGCATGGGCTATTTTTCCATTTGTTTGTATCCTCTTCAGTTTCTTTCATCAGCGTTTTGTAGTTTTGATTTATTCCTAAATATTTTTTGTAACTATTGTAAATGGGACTGAATTGATTTCTTTTTCAGATAGTTCATTGTTTGTGAACAGAAACATTAATAATTTTTTGAGTTTTGATTTTGGATACTGCTACTTTACTGTATAATTTTACTCATTCTAACATTTTTTGGTGTATTCTTTAGGTTTCTCTCTATATAAAAGACCATGTCATCTGCAAATAGGGACTTTCCAATTTGGATGCCCTTTATTTATTTTTTTCTCTTGCCTAAAATTGCTCTGGTTAGAACTTCCAGTATTATGTAGAGTAAGAGTGGTGAGAGTGGGCATCCTTACCTTGTTCTAGTTCTTAGAGAAAAATATTTCAGTTTTTCACCATTCTGAGCAGTGTGTTTATCATATATAACCTTTATTGTGTTGAGGTACTTTCTTTCTATAACCAATTTATTGAGAGTTTTTGTCACAAAAGGATGTTGATCTTTATCAAATGCCTTTTCTGCAGCTATTGAGATGATCGTATGGTTTTTGTCCTTAATTCTGTTAATGTAATATATCACATTTATTGATTTCCGTATCTTGAACCATCCTCACACTCCTGGGATAAATTCCATTTGATCATGGTGTATTACCTTTTTGATATGTTGTTGGTTTTCATTTGTTAGTATTTTCTTGAGGACTTTTGCATCTATGTTCATCAGAAATATTGGCCTGTAGTTTTGTTGTTATTGTTGTTGTGTCCTTGTCTGGTTTGGTATCAGAGTTATGCTGGCCTTGTTAAATCAGTTAGGAAGAGTTCTTGCCTTTTAAAAAATGTTTGGGGAATAGTTTGAGAAGAATTTTCATTAATTTCTCTTTAATGTTTTTTTTTTAAGTTCTAAACCTTTTAAATTCTCCTAGAAGCCTCTCATCCCTCCTCTATAATTGTAAAAAGGAAACAAATTAGCACAGAAGTCAAAAAGTTTCTAATTGTTCATCTAAAAATTACTATGATTCTGTGAAATTATCGGGTACATTTTTAGCATATTCTACCATTCATTATCTCTTTGCAAATAAATTTTTACCTTCCTTGCATGCAAAGAAATGCTGTACATAAAAAGATAATTGGCCATAGCATACAAATGAAAATTCAAAAAATATATGTTAGCTGGGTGGAAATATGTTACCCTGTTTCTTTCTACTTTCCATGAAAATAATTAACTGCTAACTTTCAAGCTAATATGGGGTTTAAGGGTCCTTTTAGATATGAATGAGTGAGGTGAGATGTGCAGACATGTGGGGACTTAAAAAAGTTGGGAAGAGGTGTGTGGTGTGTATGTGTGTTAAGTTATGGTAAGAAGTAAAAATAAACCTATAAAAGGAAATCTCTAGATAAAAATAATTGTAATATCAATTAGCTACAACCGTTTTATGCAGAGATAGGTTTCTCAAAAATGTTTGCACCTGGGCGCAGTGGCTTCTATCTGTAGTCCCAGCTACTTGGGAGGCTGAGGTGAGAGGATCACTTGAGCCCAGGTGTCTGAGGCTATAGTGAGCTGTGATTGCACCACTGCACTCCAGTCTGGGCAACAGAGCAAGACTTCATCTCTCTAAAAAAAAAATTGCATACCCAAAACTATACTTTTGAAAAAAGAGATCTAAAATATTTGCAAAAAATATCTTCATTACTTTTCTATGTGGATTGCAAATTTCTTAACAATCAGGATACATTCATCTTGATATTTCTTCATACTTGTATGAGTGCTATGCACCTTGTGAATGCTCAATTAATATTATTGAATGTTGATAAAGAGCAATAGTATCTAGTAAACAGTGCTTCTTTTCCCTTCTCACTTCTAGTTCTCATACTGAATTAAAGACAAAGCATTATCTACATTGATATGTGGCTGCCAAATTGGCCACAATATTCTTGGATTTTGTATTTCAGTGAATAAAGTAAATTTTTGATCACAGAATTAGCTCACCCATACAGAAGTATAATTTAGCCATTAAAGTGATCAACTGATACTAAATTCTTTCATGCTGCAGATTTTTAGTTATATATGCCAAACACAGGAACTGTGAAGTTTTGTTTGTTAAATTTGCTGGAATGTTCTCTTAAAATTTTCTTCTACCCCTGGTTATTTTATTTTTGTTTTAAGAGATGGGTTTCTCACTATGTTGCCATAGCAACAGTCAAACTCCTGGGCTCAATTGATCCTCCTACCTCATCCTCCCCAGTAGCTGAGACTACAGGTATGTGCCACTGTGCCATGCTATCCCTGGTTATATGAGCATGACTCCCAAAAAACTTGTTGTAGAGAAAGTCCCTGTTTGAAGCAGACAAAATTTTGATGCGGCAATATGGTTGTATCAAAAAGTCTACATCCGTGTTCCAGCATTGTAAAGTGGTGAATTCTGGGTATGTGTGGAACAGTTTTGGGCTTCCCCACAGTTAAAGACTTAAACGTAATCACATAAGATTTCCTAACAGCTACGTGGCATCCCAAAAGGTAGCTACTTTGTGAATCTACTATTTTAAAACCTCCCCTCTCAGATAAAAATTCTCTGTGAAATTTATGCTAATATCCACTTGAATAATATATGGAGTTTTCAGAATCAGGCATAGCAAGACATCTGTAACACAAGACTATGAATACAACTTGGCAAGATTTGATATTCAATTGGTATTCATTGCTCTAATATGGATATTTCACAATTGGAGCGAGACAACTGCTATCAATACAGCATGGTCAGAATGGCTAATAGGAGCATTCA